>NC_000012.12:75035885-75187400 GCF_000001405.40 Homo sapiens | reverse complement strand
TTTGGTAAATTGTCATTTGAAGTAAGTTCCAACAGAGGACTTCCAAACATATTTTAAATAATGGCAATATCATATTAAGGTTGTACTCTCCTAGAGCAGAAATGTGTTCTTCGGTACACAATTCCTTTGAGATATTGCTCATAAAAAATAAATTGCATTTGGGTACTGAGTCACACACACTACCTCCACTTGTAAATTTACAATGCACATTGTGTATTAAAGCCTCTTACAAGTTTCATTTAAAACAAAAAGGGAAAGTGCTTATCTTCCAAATTTGTCAGTTTTCTGAAAACATCCAGTTTCATGGAATACCTTTGGTAAAGTACTGTTCTTAGGGCATCTTTTTTAAAAAAAGGAAGAGGTCATTTAATTGTTTATCTGAATTTGGTATGTGTATTTTTAAAGTCATCACTTTAGAGTAATATATCACAGTGTGTTAAGATGGCTAATAAAAAGAAAATTATACTTGGATTTACTTTTCCATGTAAAACTGAAGGACTGAGATGTAAGATACCAATTTGGTGAAATAAGGATTTAGCTCAACATTGTATGTTTTTGAGCTTGGCCATTATTTAAGACAACATTTGAGAGTTTTGATTACTTGACATCCTAATGTGCTAAGGTATCAACAACTAAAAAATAAAGTATCATGAAAATAAGAATCTCTTCATGAAAGTTAATGGCAGTTTTTCTTTCAATCAAGGGGAAGTCTGCTGAAATGCTGTTGTCTTTGTAATTGGCAAAATTGTTTCTCAATATAATAATCTTACTTTCAGGAAATAAAAGAAAGTTTATTAAATATGAGGAAAGTAATTGTTGCATAAAAGTGTCCCTTGAATAATTGTTTCATAGTAGTGAACATTTTATAATAATAACCTTTTTTTACAACAGAAGGAGATGGGTTGTACGTAAACTATAACAATCCACATGATAGAATATTCTATTCTGAAAAATATTTATGAAAAGAGTATTAGTAACATGGAAAAATGCATATTCTAAAATCTTATCATAGAAATAAATAGAAATTTGTTCCTGTTAGAGGGCAACACTGGGAATGCCTTGAGTTTGTGCATGCTCCATGAATCGATTGTTTTGATTGGAGTGGTGTGCAGAGGCACAAGATGCATGGAAGGGAGAGCCCTGTGTATTTCTTCAAAATGCACCAGATGTTTCAAGAACTCCAAGAAGGCGCCTCAGAGAAGCCAGAAAAAAATTTCCCAAGGTATATGATTTGTAGACTCTTTTGTATTATGTAACTGCGCTAGAATTATACCTCTATTTTCTTTATTTAATTACAATAAAATTTTTATTTATTTATTTATTTATTTATTTATTTATTTATTTATTTATTTTTGAGACAGAGTTTCACTCTTGTCACCCAGGCTGGAGTGCAATGGCACAGTCTTGGCTCACTGCAACCTCCACCTTCTGGGTTCAAGTGAGTCTCTTGTCTCAGCCTCCCAAGTAGCTGGTATTACAGGCACCTGCCACCATGACCGGCTAATTTTTGTATTTTTAGTACAGACAGAGTTTCACCATGTTGACCAGGCTAGTCTTGAACTCCTGACCTCAGGTGATCCACCTGCCTCAGCCACCCCAAATCCTGGGATTACAGGAGTGAGCCACCACAGCCAGCCTACAATAAAATTTATAATTAAATTAACACATACAAGAAATTATGATAGTACATTTATTTAGTAGACTTGAAATTTTGTATGCCTTAGTTTTGTGTTGCTATAGCAGAATATCACAGACTGGGTAATTTGTAGAGAACAAAATTTTTTTGGATTATGGTTCTGGAGGCTGAGAAGTCCAAGATCATGGTGCCAGCATCTAGTGTGGGCCTTCTTATTGTGTCATCCCATAACATAAGGGAAAAGAGAAGGAAGAGGATAAGAAACAGAGAGTGGGCAAAACTCAATATTTAATAAGGAAACTGCTCCTGCAATAATAGCATTAATCTATTCATGCAGGTCATGCGCCCATGACCCAAACACTTCCTATGAGGCTCCACCTCCCAATACCATTGCATGGGGAATCAAGTTTCCAACACATGAACTTTGAGGGGCACTTTCAAACCATAGCATTGTAGCATTTTGTTTTCCAAAATACAGAGAAATTGAATAATAACTGAAACTTATCAATCACATAACCTTAGTAGCCTGCGTTATCACTGTTATAGCCCAAAGATGTTCATAATTCCATACTCTACTACCTAATTAAATATAGTATGTTACTATTTCTATTAAGAATTGCAAGTTAAGTTCTTTTTAAACTCTTGCTTTTACTTTCTTCTATGAGAAAATACAACATATCTGAAATCATTTCAGGTATAAAGTCTACTATCATTTTAAATTTCATTCTGCGTTTTCTTCCGGCTTTATGCTTCTGCTCCCTTCAGATAGAGCCTGCATTCATGTGTCCACAAATGAATACTTACATACTTAAAATCTCTTATGAAGATATCAACTGTCACAATCATGCTTATCCCTGGTTCTGAATAGTGAGGAGTAGGCAAGTAACCACCATAATTATTTAATCTTTGTTCTATCTCTGTGGATTCACAGATCATTTCACAAGCAGGCACTTAAGTACATAAGTGGCTCTTCAGTCAATGCATCATACAGAACTGGATGAATATTTTGCATATAATCTTTCCCAGGTGCTATGAGATAATTAAAAGAGAACACTGTGCTTGGTGAACCCTACCTTTCCTTAATTCAGAAAAGAAATAAATGTGTGGCAGCATTTTTTTTATCAAGCAACATAAGGTAGTAAAAAGAAAAAGTACCTGGGGGAAATTAGATCTGAGCACATACCAGCTCTGTCAATTAAGTTAATGACTTCCAGGAAGTTCTCCCTTTCCTTGCTGAAAAGGGAGATGTAGTAAGGTTTAAATGAAAAAAATATATAAATCAACTTCACACAGAAGGCATAGAAGAACATAAACCAGTGGTTGATGTTATCATTAGTGATTAAATTCAGTGTATTAGCTTAAGTTTACTTATCTAGCCAACCCACATCTATGGAGACTCTGAACTAGATGATTAACCTGGGAAAAATATGCATATGCTCTTAAATAGTATAAAAAATATTCAGAGCCTGTAAAAGCCTATGTAATTGTCAAAATTAATTTGTTCTTTGAGTTTCTACAAAACGGAAGACTCTGTGTTAGTTAATGACGCCACACAGAGACTACACGAGTCTTATAAAACTTGCATCTAGAAAAGCTGAGCTAAGCATTACTATCAAATATAAGTGTTATAATAGGCAGTCTACAGGAGACATGGAAAGAGAATCTAATCAAGCGGAGGAGATGGAGAAGTGAAGTTTATAGAGATTCTTGAAGAAACAGTAGGGAATAGGATGGAGAAGTGGGTGGGGGTGAGAATGTTTGTGAGCTGTGAGATGAAGGGCATCAAGTGGGCCAGTGGTATGATACTCCTTGGGAAATATATAAAGTTGAGTAATGCTGGAACTCCAAGAATCTGAGAGGTGGAATGGAAAGAGAAGTGGCAAGTTGGCAAAGGCAGATGGAGATTGTGGAGGACCCGGTGAGCCACATTGAGGAATTTGGGCTTATCCTAAGAGCGATATTCTAAGACATGAACATTCTTCAATTTTATTTTCATATTCTAGGGTAAAACAGATTTTTATTGTTAAAGATGTGGGACCATTTCAGAGGAAACTTGCTCCATATTTTTATGTCCTTTTTATTGCAAGAAGACAGAGGTATCATTCAGTTGGACTTGAAACGAGTCATAATGATTATGTTAAAATTTTTAACATATGTGGATAATATTTCAAAGATGCATAAGATCTTACAAAAATTTTGAATGTAAAGTTTGCTTTCATTTCCAGGGTATTGTCATTCCCAGGACTTTCTGGGTACTGGTTATTTGACTCCTGAATATGGTTGATAATTTTGTTTCATTAGGCACAATATTTTTTGTTTTGTTGTTGTTGTGCTTGTACATTGAAAAGCAAGTTTAATGTTTTTATTATGGTGGTGATCTTCTATAATAGACTACAATTTGTTTTAGAAAGGATCCTGGTTGTAGAAGCACGTCTTCGCTTAGCACAAAGGATTGGTCAAATTTCAGGTTTGAGCTTTCTGCATGGGGAGTCTCTTTGTGGAGAATATTTGAGCTTGGGGGGCAACAAAATTTTCACACTGTGTTACTTTGCTACAATGCCAGGAAATTCTAGTAGTGGAGTGACTCCTTTCAATTAATGCACTATGATTTCCAAATGCCTCTGTTAGCATACAAGTAAGTTTCCTGAAAAGGATAACCTTTTGAGCTCTTCTCAGCCATGAACTACTATGAATTAGTGATCAGATTGCTAACCACTCCATCAGTTTGGGGACAGAAGGGCCGGATGGCCATGTATTCATCTGTCTTCCCTCTTCTGCTGTTAGGCTCACTGTGCTTCATTCATCTCATGTCCCCAGCACCATCTCAGTACACTGCATGGCATAAAACAGCCCGCAATCTCTTGTCCTCAATTCCAAAACTGAAAAAGCTCTAGGAATAGCAGAATTTTGGTAACTAATTTGCAGCAAAACTGAAGTGAGGTGAGGCTGTTTATAGTTTTCTTTATTTATCCCACTTAGTGTGAATGTTTTGATTGCTACAGAAATATTAACGTGCTTGATTATGGGGTGCGGCCCCAAACCCTGCTGGAGGTGTTAACATAACATATGCACATGTTCAGGATGCCATATTGCCTTTCTAAAAATCTAAAAAATTCAGAATTCTGAAATACATCTGGCCCTCAAGGTTTTGAGTAAGAGACTGAAAACCTTAGAGAGTATCATAGAGTCAGTCAGTGCTTTCTGTTTGTTTTTTTTTGTTTTTTTTGTTTTTTTTTTTTTTTTTGAGACGGAATCTCGCTCTGTCGCCCAGGCTAGAGTGCAGTGGCGCGATCTGGGCTCACTAAGCTCCGCCTCCCAGGTTCACGCCATTCTCCTGCCTCAGCCTCCCAAGTAGCTGGGACTACAGGCACCCGCCACCACGCCCCGCTAATTTTTGTATTTTTAGTAGAGATGGGGTTTCACCGTGTTAACCAGGATGGTCTCCATCTCCTGATCTTGTGATCTGCCCCCCTCGGCCTCCCAAAGTGCTGGATTACAGGCGTGAGCCACCACCCCCGGCCATAGTCAGTGCTTTCTAAGTGACAAGCAGGGTATGCACTTTATACATATTACCTTGTTGAAGCATTCATGCAGAGGCAGTTGTCATGGAGTGGACAGGGCAGGGCTTTGAAAGTCAGACTACCTGGGTGGAAATTCCAGCTCTATCACTTAACTACCTATGTGCCTCTGGACATGCACCTTTCCCTCTCTTTCCCTCAGTTCTCTCATCTAAAAATGGCTGAGGCGGGCAGATCATGAGTTCAGGAGATTGAGACCATCCTGGCCAACATGGTGAAGCCTTGTCTCTACAAAAAAAAAAAAAAAAAAAAAAAAAAAAAAAAAAAAAAGGAAGATATTAATAGTAATAATGTTTCCCTAGTAGACTGGTAGTAATGATTAAATGATTGAAGAGATGTGAAGCACTTATACCTATGCTTTCACAGGCTTATTATTGTTAATTATTGTGGTAAAACTGTGACATTGGCACAGTGATCCTCATTTTATAAATGAAGAAATTGAGATCTGTTGAGGTTAATTTAAATACACATGTTCACATAGCTGGAAAATCATTGAGGAGAATTTGAGTTCATATCTGTGAGGTTGCCAAATCGGCAATTTTGGACATTATACTCTTATTAGTTTTCTATAGAAGGGAGAGCTTTAATGAACTAGTTTGAATAAAAAGGTTGAGAAAATGAGAGGCTGTTGGAGGAAGGTCAGGCAGTAGACACTGTCCATTAGGGAACCCTCAGCAGCCTTGAAGGGGAAGGTGCGGTATACTTAGTAGTAGGAGGAAGAAATCAAAGGCAAAGCTAAAAGTAATAAGTATAACTTTTGCTACTCTGCAATATTGCTTAGAACTGATACTGTCTTCATGGCTGTAGATATGCAGATATGTCTTACACAGACAGAAAGTTTTTAAAAAATGATGATTTAAGCATTGAAAAAAGCCAAAAGATAATATTAGAAGTTGGAAAGCAGTTTATTTTGTGACAAGAGTTAATTATTAAAATAAGAATGGAAAATTACTGTTTTTTTTCCTTTCATTTCAACGAAGTTCTCAACCTTGTACCTGGAATCTAACTAAGTTGCATTTTAAATGAATTGATCTTTTAGTTTTTTTCTTCCATTTCCATGAGAATCCTAGAAACTAGTTTGTCAAGCTTCTTACTTTTCTCTGCTTAGAGATTGAAGATTGTCCATTGAGACTCTCTTTTAAGTATTTATTTTGAACACTTTACTCAACATGTTAGAAGTTCAAATAGTTTGAGAACAATTCTACTTTCTACTATGTGTGAGTAAATCAGAAAGTTGTGAAGAAATTGATTTTTTTGGAAAAGGTATAAGTTATCAAAAATGCTAACTATGGAAGACATTGAAAGTTACCAAAAATTACACCAAGAATTCTTTTAACCTACTTAGTTTTATAGTGGGTTCTTTTAAATATCAAAGAAGGATAACTTTAAATATGTATCATTTATTTCACACTGTAGGAAAAGATTCTTTCTAAAAGCTATTAAGTAAATTTTATGAAAATCTACTTGTCTTGAGTCTGACAGTAAAAATTATATAGCAAACTCACTTATAAATATAGTATGCTATATTACTAAATGGAATACTTGCAAATTGAATTCAAGAATTTATTAAAATATTGATCTACCAAAATCAGGTAGGATTTAACCTGTTAGACATAATTTAATATTAGAAAATGATTATTGAAACAAATAAAATCAATATACATCATAAGGAATACACAGTGTACGCACCATGAAATTAAAAGAAAAAACAATAAAACTTGATTGGAACTAAAAGTGTTTCACAATAAATTGTGCATATCAAATTCATTTGTTTTCCTTATATCAGAAATGATTGGTGATAAAAAGACATACTTTTTACACAAATCTAATAGGAGGCTTCATATATTTAGAAACTAATGGTACCCATTCAACAAACATTTTTGAGGTCTTAGTATGTGATAAAAATTTGATTTATACAGAATTAACAAAACCAGATGTAGTCTTCTCATAAAATTTGTAGTGTTAGAAGCAGAAAATGGTGTGATACTAACTATATGACATAATTATTGTTTAAAAGTAGGATAGATATGTGCCAAATTATTAACATACAAAACATTGAGCATTTAACACTTTGAAATGTCTATATTTAAAATTACTATGTTGACAATATATTCCTTTGATAATAAAGAACAACATAGGAAAGAAAATAATAAATTTTGGTGTTGTTAACTTATGGCTTTATGTAATTTTCTATTTTTCATGTTTAGCACACAGTCTACAAATAGATGATATTCAGTAAATGCTTTTTTAGATGATTAAGATACAGTGCAATTTGTAGCTTTAGAATTGTACGGAATGCTAAGTTGAAGAGACTGTGTGTCAGTGAAATAGTAGCAGAAATATCATTAGAAAAATCAATAGTTAATATATTTTTCCATGACATATTATTTCCAAGATATAAAAGTAGTTTTATATCTTTTATAGTTTTTATAAAAGATATAAAACTAGTTTTATATCTTTTATAGTTTTTATAAAAGATATACAAGTAGTTTTATATCTTTTATAGTTTTTATAAAAGATATAAAAGTAGTTTTATATCTTTTATAGTTTTTATAAAAGATATAAAACTATCTTTTATAAAACACATTTTTATGCCTTCATTCTATAACTTTGTTTTCATGAAAATATGGAGTCTAACATGCATAAATTAGCCAAAATACATCAGTAGGTTTCGGAAATAAAAAAACATGTTGAGTTTATTTTTCTCATATAATAAGAATTGATATCCAATCACATGAGATTTTTCAAAAGACTTTGTTCATTTCTTTTTTGTTAACTGATTTAAGGCATACTTCTTTCAGTATCTATCAAACTCACTCCTTATATATTTTTGCCAAAATGAAAAACAAAGAAAAGAAAATTGAGATTGATGAAGATGATAGTCTCTTTCCAAGGTGCAATTGATTTTCAGTTAAAAAAAATTTCGCCCTCTGAATGTTTAAAGACAAATAAAATACTGTATCATTTCCTGCAGAAAGCCTAATTTTTACTAGTGTTCTGATTCAAACTTGGATTTGAACTGTTTAATTACATAGTTTTATATGTATCAAATATTTTTGGAACATGTGGGTGAAACTTTTTTAGAATCATCAGATTTAACTTTTATTTCATTATCTTTTTTCTTTTAGTATGTTTCTGTTTTTCCTATGAACCTTGAAAGGAGATTTCCTTCTACTGTTTTGTTTGTTTGTTTGTTTGTTTTCTATAGGGAAAAAACATTCAAGCTCAAAGATAGAACAGTCATCTACTGGGTAGTTATTACCTGATTTATTAGCTCATGGGTCCCAAAACTTTTCTATGCATGATTCCCCCACCTCTTTGAACAAGGAGGGCTTAAATACTTGCACCATTACAAAATGGCAATCTTAACCCTGAACTACTTGCTCCACGCTGGCAAGCATGGATTTTTCTGTATCAAAGACAGAAGTATTTTGTGCTAATCTATGTTTTGAATGTTTTCATGTGTATTATCTCATTTCTCTTCACTGCACTCCTGCAAATTTTTAAAAATTGGGGGTGTACTTTTGTTATTGTTTTGATTTAATCCCCATTTGAGGGTTACAAGGATCTGAATAGTTGTAGTTTACACAGTTGGTAAGCTACAAATCCAGTTTCCAAATTTGGGGTTTTGACTCCAAATCTAGGGTATGTTTCAATCTACAATGAAGTCTTTGCAAAATTGTTAATAGTAAACAAAACACAATTTTAAGAAACAAACTTTACACACTGCCTTCAGCATCAATAGTGACTGATAAATGGATTTGAAGTCAATTATATTAAGAGCTTCAAAAATCATATTGCCATCTGTGTGAATCAATAAATTTGATTCACATCCAGCTTTCCAGTCTGATTCTTACCCACCTTATTTATATTATAACAGGTCTATTTTCTAATGACAGCTAGTAAATCTATGCATCAGTGCTAATTTCTTTGGTACAGTGGAATTGTATTACTAAGCACAGATGTACATGTCTTACTGTGAGTCAGACAATGACTCACTGGTTGTGATGAAAGTAGAAGAGTCTCTTGACTATTTCATTAGTATTTCATGCCAGGACATGCCTTCAGTATTTTCCTGGGTGTAAATTATAATGTGCAAGTTGAGAGGATTAACCAATATTCTCACTGGCCATTCCATATTCAAAAAGAGAGAGGCATCAATGGTAGGCCTGGCCACTCAAATTATTGGACAAGGTATTTGATGTCTCTAAATATCATCTGTTGGGTGTTAATAAGTAAAGTAAGGAAGATTGTTATTATTTTCCACTTTTCTTCTTTTTAAGAGAATCTCCAACTTTGTTGAAGTTTCCACCATTCTTTTTACACAGATGTATGTCTTAAATTATGCTCATCCCAACCCACATACAATGGTAGGCCTGATTGGTCCAAGAAAAATCCCATTTCTCTTGTAGGTAAATTGTTCAATTTAAACAATAAAATTTTAGGCCAAGAATCCATGAAAATTTTTGAAGAAATCATTCTTCTAAAGTTCTCAAGAAGAGAACTTAATTTTCTTTCTGTGTATGATATTATATCTGGATGTAATAACTAAGACTATTGTTTGACTAAGGATGAAATAAGCACAGAGTGTTAGAGAAGAACAATTGAATGAACTGGCCACTTGCTGACCTAGCTGAGCCGATAGGTTAATCAGTCTAACAGCTCCTTTATCCTCTGATTTTCATAAAATTTGAAAAAAAATCATATTTTAACCTACTTTGAGTCAGTAGTTCTTGTTTATTGTGGCTGAAAGCATCTTACCTGACACAATTCCAAAAGTTCCTTCCAATTCAGAAATTCCTAGAAAAATGTACCTTTTACTTAAACAATTTAAAACTATTGGGATTCTACACTAATTTATACAGAATTTTAGTTATATTTCCTGAACCCTGTGTTTGTTCATAAAAATAGCATTACTTTTTTCATTGTTCTTTTTGCTGAGAAGTAGAGGGAATGGATCAGATTTTATTAAATTCATTAACGTAAATCTTCCCATTAAGTTTCACTTTATTTCACTAATTATCTAGTATTTTGTTATTGCAGCCTTAGCAAACTAACACTCCCTAAAACAATTGCTTTATTTCTTCCCATTTTCCAATATACAGAGTTGAAGTACAGTGTGTGTGTGTATATATATATATATATATATATATAAAACTTGCAGCATCACTTCACTTACCAGTTTCATGTTGACACAGTCTTCTTCTTTATACATTTTAACGAGACGCAATAGTCCATTCATATATTTCTGTTTTTTACTACTATAAATTAAATTATTGAGAACGCTATTGAAATGTTGATGATAAGAGCATATTTGAAAATACACATATGCTCTCTTTTTGAGGTTTTTTTGTTGGTCAAATTCCCAGGACCTGGATTACTGTTTCAAAGGTCACAGATATTTTAATGGCCTTTAATAATAATGCTATATTCACCTCCAAAGAGATTACATAAATTACAATATCATTAGAAATGAATTATTCTATATGTTCTTAAGCTTAGGTGGCAGACATGTATTATTAACTGAAGGAGAGAAAAAATGAAGTTCAATCATAGAAGACTAGGGGTAGAGAATTTTCAGGTGGAGAGAAGAACCACAACAAAATTTCCATGCTGGGAGAGTGTCTAGTTCATTTGAGGAACTGTGAGGCCATTTGGCTGGTACAGGGTGAGCAGAGGGGAAGAGTAGTGAATTAAATCGGAAAATGTGTAGGGCACTAGATCTTACAGGGCTTGTAGTCCATTGCAAGGACTTCAACTTTTACTCTGATTTAGGTGGAAGCCATGGAAAGGTTTTGAGCAGAGGAATGGCATGATCTGGCTTCTGTTTTAAGATAGTAGCCCACACCAGGGAGGACGTTGTGGAGGTGAGTTAAGCCCAAACTGCCTCTCTAGTCCCCATTTCAGCTCAGGAGAGAAGAAGGGCTGGAGTGGATGACAGTGCTTAGGGCAATATGTAGAGTAATGAGAATATATACCAGGATGGAACCATAGGAAATAGCTAAATGTACAGGTACCTGCCATTCCAGGCACACAGTGTTTCAGTTAAGTTACACTTCCTGATCTTTGAACATTCTTCTGTACTTTTTGGTCTTTGGCCCATTGCCTGAGCATTTGCTTGCCTTTTTCATCTGTCAAATTCTACTAATAATTTAAAATCTACCTCAGATACCACTGCAAACAAAAATATAGTACATCCAGTTAAATTTGAATTTCAGATAAATAATAAATCATTTTTTAGGATAAGTATGTTCCAAATATTGAATGTTATGCTATTGTTTTCACTATTTACCTGAAATTCAGATTTAACTGGACATCCCATAATTACCTGGCAACCCTGTTCTTAAACTATTATTGAATACTTGACTTTGATGTTATTTCAGTTAGGATAGGTTGCGTTATGCTGCAGTGAAATGAAACTCCAAAGTATTAGTGGCCTAAGATAAGAAAGTTTTATTTCCTGCTTTTACTACATGTGTTTTGTGGGACAGCAGAGAAGGCTTATTAATTACAGCTCTTCAGAGACTACTGTTTCAAACTTAACTCCTTACTATGCCAGAGGGGAAAAAAGAGAGCTCTGCAGTCTCACTTTAGCAATTAAATGCTGTAGCCTGAAAGTGGCAAACATGACTGCTGCTTGCAATTCATTGACCAGAAATAGTCCCTTGTACCCATCAACTAAAACCAAATGTACAATTCTGTCATGTCCTGGGCAAGATGGGGATTGGAGCTATGTAGAGAATAGTACCAATGATGCAATCTTTAATGTAATTCCCCACATATATAATCTCTACTTTCTTGAGCTCCCATAGGAACTTATTTGCCATTCCCTAATGATATTTATCTCATTTTAACTTACACATTTAACCACTTTCTACTTATTTAATCCATTTGGGATAAGAAGCTTGAAAGGCATGTCCTAGAATTTTTTTTAGATAAAGCAGACCCGCAATCACAGTTTGGGCTGGAGGCTAATGCCTCTCTCACCTCATTCTAATCCTGGTTCAGTGTGACTGAGAGATTTTGTCTTAGGGGTGCTTTTGGAAGTTTACTGTTGTGGTCTGCATTGATCCTTCAGGTACACAGGCTGTCTTCTGCTTCTCTCTTGCCTAGCTGTCCCCTCCTGTTTTTTCTTTGGAAGTTCTATAGAGCAGGCAGGAAGCAGATTCCTTGGCATCTGGACACTACAGTTTCTCTGTTCTCTGCACGTGTTTATTATTGCTATCACCAGCTTGGAGGAATTCTTGTTGTATTAACTGCTTTCTCTTAGCCTTTTTGTTTTTTGCTATCCTTTCAACCATGTCAGATAAATAGATGTTTGCTCAGATAAACACATGCGTTAAAACCATGGTTAATTCAATAGAACATGTAATGAAATATGTTGGCAACTCTAATGGGAGACTTCTTTTGAGTCTATTTTGTATGAATAACATAACTTTGGGGAGTTTCTACCAGAAATAGACTCCATTTCTTCTTACAACTCAGAAGACACATTTTAATAAGTACCAGTAGTTGGGGAATGGAAGGACTTTTGAACTCCAAGTAAAGCCTGGATTAAATGACCACTTTGATATCTGAAAAGGAGTGGATCAGAGACAATATGTGCTCTATGTCAAATAAAATTCATGTGTTACATATGGAACATTTTCAGACTATATAATATGACTGCAACATTTCCATCTCTCTCATAGGTGAAGAGAGGCAAGGTAAAATAGGCATTTGCTACTATTTTATATTCATAGGGGAATCTATGTGTCATAGAGAATACCAAGAGTGATTAAGATGCCCATTCAATTACTTTACCTAAGAACATTTGAAAATGAGTTTTATATATCAGCATTCATTTTATGACATTTTAGCCACATATTTAGTAAATTCAATAATTCCGATCAAGTTTAATTAATGATCCAGAATGTTCAAGTTTGTTATTTAAAAAAATAACAAACTTAAATATTTTACAATCACTGTGTAAAAAATACACGGTGTAAAAAATACATGGTATAAAAAATACACCGTGATTGTAAATTAAGGAGCCAGTTTGAAAAAAAAAAGTTAGAACTGTGAAGAACAGTATTTAACTTAAATTAAATCAAAATTCATATGAAGGAAATTACTCTGTTTAAAATGACTTTTTTGTTGGGAAGGATAAAGTATTATACTAAATATGAAAAAAATCAGAAGATGAAGAAATGACATGCCATGAAATAGATTGTGTTGGAAAAAACCTTTTTAAACTGATTTTTACCTTGATGGCCAGTGAAAAGAAAGTACAAATGAAGTTTCATTGGTGAAGAAATCTATACAGTGTTTTAAGATCAAATCAAGGAGCCGATTTTTATGCAAACTTGAATTCCAAAGGTTTGGAAGTAATTCGCTATTCCAATAACATGAAGAGTATTGCAGTAATGACTTTGTGAATTTTTTTGCATCCTGATTCAAATCTATTTTTGCATTTTGTGAAACTCCTTTATTATTATAAACTTTCTGTTGAAAATTAGTTTTAAATTTTACCCTCTAAATCCTAATTTAGAATGTTTATATTTCCAAAAGGACATGTAATTATACAGAATTTTAATAAAGATGGCAATCATTGGCATGGATTTCTCTGGTGAGGAAAGCTGAGTTTGTGACAGTATGAAAAATAGGAAGTGCTTTAGTGAAGAATATAATATTCTTTATACCCACTTTTGTTTTTTCCTTTTGTTTGTGAGAAATGAGGAACTATGGAGTAGTGGAAAGTGTAGTTTACAGGCCCAAATCTGGAAGAAGAAATGATTCATGTGTAGTTCTATTTTCCATTTAAATTGTTGTAAGATAATTTCAATTGTATCTTTAGATTAGCTCTCAGAACCACTCTACTCTGATGTGATTCTTCTATATCTCTATATCAGACATAGAAATGCAGAACCAAGTAATTTTAGAACTATAATTGACTTGGATTTAACTAATCTAATACAATCTTGAAGAAAAATGCTTATTTCTAGTTTGACTTCTGAATTTTTTCTATTGATATAGTGAAAGGGAGAAGACGTAAATTGTGATTATGGAGTAGAACTAGTAAATAATTTCATAGGCAAATATTAAAATTGTATCTATGCCAATATTCAAAGGGATGGTAATTATTACCATGAGGGTATATAATAGTAATTATAGAGTATTTGAGTTTGATCATAAAATGGATTTCTGTTTGATCTGGGATCTCTGAAAATATTTTACAATTGCCAGATTTGCTTTTCTCAGAATTCTATCTGGCTCTCTGGTTATAATAATTATACCTTGTTAAAGTTGGTTCCCATCAGGAAGTTAGACAGCCCTGAACTGGTGCTTTGGGGGCTTAGAAGGAAACAGCTGGCACATGGGGAACAAGGCCAAGTTGTGATCTTATAGAATAGTAGCCTTGCGGTTGCAGCCTATCAGAGAGGAAGCTTGAACTTGGTTGAGGCATATTCACTTAAGTGTTAAGAAAGGATGTAAAAGGCTAGCTCTTTCTAAGCTCCCAGTTGCCAACAGCTAGCATAGAATGTTTTGATTAATTTTAAATTGAAAAGGTTTCCCAGTTGATGATCCTTGATGAATTGACTTATCAGTAGCTTGTGAGAGATGCATGGGCTGATTTAGAAATAGACTAAAGCTCTGTCTTAGCAGCTATAAGAATGAAAGTACAGGGCAAAGGTGGATGTACTTTTTTTTTTTTCTTCAACTTTTAAGTTGAGGGTTACATGTGCAGGATGTGCAAATTTCTTACATAGGTAAATGTGTGCCATGGTGGTGGTTTGCTGCACAGATCATCCATCACCTAGGTTTTAAGGCCAGCATCCATTAGTTAGTCTTCCTGATGCTCTCCCTTCTCCAACACCTGCCTCCAACATGCCCCAGTGAGTGTCCTTCCCCGCCATCTTCCCATATGTTCTCATCATTCAGCTCCCACTTATAAGTGAAAACATGCTGTCTTTGGTTTTCTGTTCCTGCGTTGGTTTGCTGAGGATAATGGCTTCCAACTCCATTAATGTCAGGATGCCAAATAATACAAATTTGAGTACCACAAATTATGTATGAGCTATGTAGATGGAAGCCTGAAACAGGCTTATTCTCTTCATTTGAGCAATGTGACATCCTTTCTTTGGGGGGTGAGGGTGGGTATGGTGATGGCTATTTATTTTTATTTTTCTTCAGCTTTTAAGTTCAGGGGTATATGTGCAGTATATGCAGGTTTGCAGATAACATCCTTAATAGAAGAGAACAAATGATAAAGATAATTTAAAAAACCCTTTTTAAAGTGTTTTATTATTTTTTGTTGATACATAGCAGCTGTGACCATTTATGGGATACTGATACTTGCACACAAAGTGTAATGATCAAATCAGGTTAACTGAGATATCCAACACTCAAGTATTTATTATTTCTTTGTATTGGGAACATTCTAAATCTTCTCTTCTAGCTATTTTTAAATATGCAGTAAATTCTTATTAACTATAGTCATTCTACTGCGCTGTCAAACACTAGAACTTATTCCACCTAACTGTATTTTTGCACCAAGCTTTCTTCATTCCTCCCTCCCCACTAGCCTCTGATATCCACCATTCTACTCACTACCTTCAAGATATTAATTTCCTTAGCTTTCACATATGATATTTGTCTTGCTTTGCCTGACTTATTTCACTTAACAGAATGTCCTCCAGTTTCATCCATGTAGTTGCAAGTGACATACATTTATTCTTATCCTGTAAAGATGACTGAGAAAAGCATGATTTGCAATTACAAAGACTTGTGGTAGGCAGATTTCTAAGATAGCCTCAAGGTTTCCCAATCCTAGTGTACACAGGCTATATAATTTCTTCCCAGTCCTACTGTACTCAGCTGATATAATCTCTTTCCCTTCAGCATGGTTGAGGGCTGTCAATGGGAAGGGATATTTCTGTAATTAGGTTACATTACCTGGCAAAGGTGAAGGGATTTTGCCGAAGTAACTAAGGCTCCTAATCAGTTGAGTTTAACTTAATAAAAAAGGAGATTATCAAGGGTATACCTGTCCTAATCAGGTGATCCCTTTAAAAAAGAGTCTAGAGGTCAGATACAGAAAATGTCAGAGACATTCAAATTTAGTAAGATCCCCTGCTGGCTTTGAAGGAGTAAGCTGCCATATTGTGAGAGGCCCAGGTGGTTAAGACCGAAGAGTGGCCTCTAGGAACTGAAAGTAACATCAAGCTGACAGCTAGCAAGAATACAGGAACTTCAAGGAACAAAATTCTGACAACAATCTGAATAAGCTTGGAAGAGTACACCCGCCCCCAAATGAGTATGCAGCCCAGACAGCCTCTTGATACAGCCTTGTGAGATTCTGAGCTATGCTGTGCCAGAACTTTTAACTTGCAGAAGCTTTGAGATAACTATTGGGTGTTGCCCTGAAACGTGGAGAAGTTCAAATATGGGAGCTGTTGACAAAAGTTAACATCTCTTGGCTGAGAACTCTCTTCCTGGAAAGAAAAAAAGTTCAACATCAACGGCATATTAAAGAAAGAAATTACATCATTGTGACATGCTAGTCTTACTGATTCACATACAGTTAAGTAATGACAACATTGGAGAAGAAAAACTAACATATGGACTGTAATTAAAGAACTTTTTTTGGGTTTTTCTAACAAGTCAAACATATTTAGTTGAGTGAATACATTCAGGTATTCAGGTTTTTCATCTGTAAATTGAGTGATTTGAATTAGATAACCTATCTGTATTCCTCTGTATCTAGAATTCCATGATTTTTGATTCAGAGGAGTCCTGAATCCCAAAGTTTTGAATGATAGCTTGAAACCAGGGACAACTGTCTTCCTCTTGGTACATTTGAAAAAGCATCTGAAGAGCTAGATTTTTGTCTGGGCCACTCTGCTATTTCTGTGGCCCTGAGCAAATCACTTACTCCCTTTAAGCCTCCATTTTGCTATCTTAAAGGATTACTGAAATCACATGTGAGAATGTACGAGGAAGAGCTTTGTAAAATCATAAAGTGCTAATTATTTTTAAGCCATTTTCATCTACTTTTTTGTTATATTCTGAGCTTGGAATTCTAGTGACTTCACCTTGAGAAAAGAAAAAGGTAGTTATAATTTTAAAACATTGAAATGGTCTGGAACTTGTTTTTCTTTTACTTAGTCATAGATTAAAACAATATATGAAAAGATTAAAATAAGCAATTTCCCCCATTTTCAAATTTTATTGCTAATGTTATGTCGCCTTTCTTTTGCAGGCCTAGGGAAAAAGTAATCACAAGCAATCAGGTCCTTGGTTTAAAAATCTTCTGATTTCAACAGCAGTTAATGACATTCTCATAACATTGATACCTGTGAAAGGATAAGAGATTCCAAGACACTGTAGCAGAGAAAAAGATGTAGATGCTTGTTTGCAAATAATTCACTTTATCTTTTATTAATAGCTCTTGTTCTCTGAGTCTATTTTCCCCCTTTATTTGTCAAATTTCTCTAAGAAAAAAGAGAAGGAAAGAAAAGAAAGAAAACAACAATCATAGTAATTTATAAGAATTACAATTTTGAAATAGGTTTTTAAAATTTACTTTGTTTTAAAATAGAATACATAGGACATTATACATTACCAAAAGTGAAAAAGTAAATTACATTCCTTTTTGCTTTCGTAGGAGCTAAAGAGAATTTTCCCGAGGGACATAGTAATCTTATTATACAACCATCTTCCTATATCTCTTTTGATTTCATAAATTTTAAAAGAATAAATTATCATTTTGCACACTTAAATGACATTATCAGTAGTAATGGAACATCACTGAAGATATTATAAACTTTGAGTAACTTGTACTATTTCATTGAATATTGTTAATTCAACTAGTTTCAGAATTGCTGTAATTTTATATCTATTTTGTGATAGTCAATGATTCAAAAATGTTTTTGTTCAATGCTCATTATGTGCCAGGTACTGCTCTATGTGCTAAGATAGAAATCATACCTGGGAAAGAATCTCAAGGCCTCAGACAAAGGCAATCTCAACTAGCTTTATGTTTGAAAGTGATTATTTAATTACTATGATCTAATGTTTGTATTAGTTTCTGGGCTTCAGAAAAGAAGGCTCCCTGTAATAAATTACTTAGTGGAGAGATGACTGACAAAAAATGTTTGTCCTTTCCTTTTGGCACCTGTCTAAACTGAAGACTGATGATTAAAAACATCATCTGTCTGGCTTTCAAAAAGGAAAATCTTTCTCTTAGTATTATCATTTGGATTGTACTTGTGAGCAAAATTGTGTAAATAATCATAGCTATGGCCTAAACTAAGGAAGAGAGTCTTTAAAGTTCAAGTAAATTTTGCTTCCAAAGATATTGAAGGAGATTTCTATTATTCATTTTGTTCAAATTAAATATATTTGACCAGATTCTAGTTTCTAAGTCACTTTCATAGACTGATACATTATTTACAACCTTCACAGACAGCAAAATAATTTGGGGTTAAATTTGACAAAGAAATAAATTTAAAAACATATTTGAGAAATTCTCCCTCTGCCAGTTTTGGTATGGTAAGAAATAGAATGCGGTTGTCAAAAAAATTTTTTTAAGTTGTTTTCACCATTTGTGGTTCTCAAAACTAACGGACTTTGTTTAATTCTTACTTAATTATATTTTCCCTGGTAAATTTATGTGAAATTTATTGGCATATAGAAACTATGCAATTGATAATTATAGCTTTGTAGTTGGGAGCTCAGTCTAGACACTAACTTTGAATCTGCAGCCTGGCAGCCCTACTTTCCAGCTTCTTTATGGCCTTAGGCAATTAACTTCTCTGACTCAGTTCCCTGTTTTCAAAATAGGGCTGGGATAGATGTTTAGTAAAGAACTAAATACAATAACTAGCATATAGACAAGTGTTTAATAAATATTCCTTATTGTTATATTTTTACAGATTATTGTGTATACCTACTAGACTGAAACATAGTAAATACTCAAAAAAAAGGTATTTAAAAGTCATAGAGTTTTTTCCAGGGCTTGATTGCTTTGCCTAACATAGTAATGTATTTCGGTTTTTCTCAAATCATTCATTTTTTAAAAAGTTGCGTTTATTTTTTCAGTTTTAGGAGGGCAAATGATGAATAGCAAGATGAGATTAGACATTTAAAGATAGCAATTCCAAATTACTTGGATATTGAGCTCATTTTAGTCTCTGGCAATCTCATATTATACATTTTAAGCAAAGAGTTGTCATTCAAATATAGAAGATAAAATGCAGAGATTGAGATAAAATTGGAAATGATGATTGAAGATTTAAGATAAATTTTTAATGCATTATAGATCAAAGGCTATCAAGGAGTAAGAAAATCTTGAGACATTGGCATACATACAACCATGATTCAATTTTATTATAAAATAGGGGTTATACGAAAAGAAAAAAAATGCAAATAATAAAAAAATTATTGGGTTGAATTAAGATTTAATAACTCAATCTTTCTTAGCTGTACTTTTGAGAAAACACAAGAGCCATAAACACAGAGCTCTTCAAACACAATGGATCAGTTACAACTCAGATTGGTGGAAGAAAGCCTTCCCTGCCAAGTCAGCTCTGGTTATTAGCCTTTATTTATTTATTCTTAATTTTTGGATTTTATAAACATTAAATTCCAAGTTATTTTCTTTGTGCAGTTTTCTTTCTCTGTTATGATGTGTTTACTTATGACTTTCTTTTCATGCATTACATCTATAAGTGATTCCTACCTTGTAATTATTACTATTTCTAAAGAGAAAACTGTGATTCATAAGAAGCTTTTATTTTATATTTTTGAGAAAAATGCTAGATTATTTTTAATCCATCTATTTTCTCTTTGAAGTATTTACAAAAGTAATTTTATTTTACAAATGAAAAAATAAATAAGTAACCCACACTTGTCATTAGATAGAAACCAAGATGACAAAATAAAATTAAAGATAATAAAAAAAGAAAGTAAAAGGTCATCCATATGTTTGCTTAAATCAGTTTTGGTAGTTTGTCTATTTCAGTGAAGTTATTTAATTTGTCAGTATATAGTTGTTCATAGTATTCTCTTATAATTCTTTTTGTTTGTTTGAGGTTGCTAGTGATACCCTCTCATTCCTAAGTTTAGTAATTTCAGTCTCCTTCCTTTCTTTTCTTTTAGTAAGTTCAGTTAGGCTTGTGTGTTTTGTTAATCTTTTGAAAAAACTAAATTTTGGTTTTGTTGATTTTCTCTTTTTTAGAATTCTTTATTTCTACTCTAATATGTATTAACTTCTTTCTTCTGCCTGCTTTGGGCTTATTTGCTCTTCTTTTCCTAATTCTTAGGGTGGAAAGTTATTTATTTGAGAGCTTCTTTTTCAATATATGTGTTTAGAGCTATAAATGTTTCTTTGGGGAGAGCTGTAAATTTATCTAAGAAGTTTTAGTGTTTTTTTTGTTTTCATTTGTTGCAAGGTATTTTCTAATTTCTTTTATAACATCTTTTTTGATCCATTGGTTACTTAGGAATGTGTTGTTTAATTTCTGACTATTTGTGAACTCTTCCAATTTGCCTCTATTGTACACTTCTATGTTAATTGCTTGTGATCGCAGAATGTAGTTTGTATAATTTTAATACTTATAGATTTATTGAGACTTATATTTCCTCTACCATATGATATAACCTGGAGAAGGTTTCATGTGCATTTGACACAAATGTGTATTCTGCTGATGTTGGTGGAATGTTTTATAGACATCTGTTAGGTCTAACTTTTTTTTTTTTTAGATCATTCGAGTTTTCTCTTTCCATTTTGATCTTCTGCCTAGATGTTCCATCCATCATTTAAGTATGATATTGAAGTCACTAACTGCAATTGTTGAATTATCTATTTCTTCCTTTAATTCTGTCAGTTTTTGCTTCTGTATTCTGGGGTTCAGGTTCAGATGCATATATGCTTCTACTTATATTTTCCTGATGGATTGACTAAAAAAATCCCTGCACTAGATATATAAAATTATATAAATTTATAAATCATTTTATTTGATACAGTTATAAAATGTTTATTTCTCTCATACCAATTTTTGCCTTAAAGTCTATTTTGCCTGATATTCATAGAGCCTCTACAGCTGTCTTTTGATTGCTATTTGCATGGTATGTGGTATATATTTTTTCCATTCTTTACTTTCAACTTTTTTGCTTCTTTGAATATGAATATCTTTTGTAGTTGAATTATGTCATTCTTTAAACTCATTCTGTCAATCTCTGTCTTTTGGTTGGAGTGTTCAATCAACTTACATTTAATATAGTTTTTATTTACACACAAACCAAATCTTTATATCAGTTTCCTCCCAAATAAGCAATGGCTAGCCTGTTGGATTTATGTAGGGCTTCCAGATATCTGTTACTTGAAATATTAGTATGTTGTTATAGATGAAACACTTAGGCAAATGTACATAGATATCAACATCTATATACAATTTACTGTTAAGAAAAATAGGCTTAACTGAATAATCTACAATTAGAAATTTCAAGTACTCTATCTTTCCACTTTCTGTAGTATGTAATTTTGATGGACCTAACACTTAACATTATCTTGAATCATTGTTCTCCATATTTAGAAGAGGTAGAATATATTAGAAAAATAAATATGTACATGTGAATTTGCTAAAATAATAGAAAAAATAACTTATTAAATAAGAAACTAAATTTATCAGTAAGAATCTATACACAATTACAATTCACTAATTTATCTTATTGTATAAATTAGTTATCATTCATAACTCATGACTAACTGCAATTAATTGCCTATTACATGTAGCAGTGACTCTGAGATAACATATGAAAATAGAATGTTTTGGATTAGTAAGAGCGGAGTTGAGGGACAGCATATTTCTTTAAGTGTATGATTAAAAAGTCCACTCTATTTAGTCTATACAGTCTGTTTACAATATCTAATTATTTAATGCTCTTTTGTGCATTTTATGTATTTACATAAAGTTATGCATTTGTATGCTTACATAAAATACACAAAAGAGCATTAAATAATTAGATATCGTAAACACTTCTAATCATACTCTAAAATAAAAATTGCCTCTATCAGTTCTCCTTAGAATTTTTCATGGATAGGTATGATGGATTTGTGAGACATTACTAAGGAACTGTAGGTGATCACTCTCTTGACATCAACAAGTTGGAAGCACTAAGAAATAAAATAGGAATTGAAGTATGTACAGCAGCCATGGATTTACTTCCTAAACAATGGTTATAACTGGCATAGGTTGGTGGACACTTTGGTACTAATGTTAAGGAAGCACACACTTGGAAAATTGACAGATTTTGTTAAACAGGCTTTTGAAGTAATAATGAATATTCAATAAATTTTAATTCTATTTTGAATAATTTATGCAAATGCAGAAAGTTTTAGTTCAACGATTTTTGATTTATGAATAATACATAGAAAACTCCAGGTACCTTTCCATTGGCTATTCTCATAGATTAAATAGATTTGGAAAGAGAAATGAAATAGCAGTTGTTACAGGTTAGTGTTTCAGGGACTGGAATTTACTTATCCAGAGAACATTCATGTCCGCCTTGAAGATGCTCAATGTGTTTGTTACCAGAATTCTACCTGGCAGCAGTTTAGTCCAGAGGAATGCACTCCAGCTGAGGATCGATACTTGTGCCCAAATGCATTAAGTGAAAGCCTGCAGGAACAGTGGCTACTGGCAAAGTATCAGAAATATGAATGTTTTCTAGAAATTGGAAATTTCCAGTTAATGTGCACAGTAGAATGTGTTAGACTATGTATGGAGCTGAGGACACAAATTGACTTGTGACATCCTGGGATATTCACATGATAATGAAACCAGAGTCTTCAAAGTGGATGATGATTTATTGTGAACAAAACACAGTTAATCAAATTCAATTTTAGGTTAGGGTGTGTTAGGCTGGCAGAGTGAACATGGGCAAAGCCGACACATACACTTGAGAACGGCATTGAGTCCAAAAGATTACTCCTACTGAAAATGTATAGAAAAGTACATAACAAAAAAAGACATAAGAGGCTAATGATGCTCGGATCCTGAGTCTGTATTCTTCTCAAATGACCAACTTGAAACTAGTCATGGAACAGGGAGCTTAAGTCATGTATTTATTAAAGGTAACTCTTTGAAAAGAGCTTTGAGAGCTCCTGAATCCAGGAACCATTCTGGTTCTTTTCTTTCATATTGTTCCCTGCAAGTTCCAAAAAAGGAGTGTGTAGGATTTTCCCCAAGGTAGTTTGAGAACACCTGGGGTTTGTTTCACAGTAACAGTAGCAAACTTTGCAGCAAGTCTCATGGCAGTTTCGAAATGGGTCACAGACCCCATTTCAAGCCTACTTAACAGAAAGTTTAGCAAGACTGTAAGTGTTTTAAGATAAACAGTTAGCATTTCAAGTTTTTAGGTTTCAAGAAAATCGCTAATCTTCTCTTTTACATAATCTATGTTTCAAAATGTTGAAATCAGTCTCCAAGTGTAGTGTTGAGATTTTCAACATTGTGTTGGAAATTACGTCACCAGCTTCTTTAAAAAGAAACCCAAAAATGATTGGCGTGCGTAAGTAGCAATAGATATTTTTTACGTTTTTTATATATCTGTCTCATAGTTTTGAAATTTAGCATTCTACAGGAATATGTGTGTGCTTAATGTTGCGTTTAGTGCTTAGCAGTCTTTAACTGTAAGTGGCTGGTGTGAAAACAAATTATTAGCGTGCAGAAACTTAAATGCATTTGTTCCAAATGAAAAGAGTTCTTCACCATCTGGTTGACTTCAAGTTTAGGAATCCCATTTAAATAATAAGTTTCTCTCAACAATTTTATTTATTCTCCATAATGATTCCACAATAATACCTCTTTTACCTGGAGATAACCTAATCAATCATTTTCCCTCTGGAGTTTTTGGCCAAGGGAACTAGATACACAAAAAATGACAGAGATTAAGGAAATAAAATATCAGCTTTATTAATTAATGTAAAAACACATGATAGCAGCAACACACCCTTTTATTCTTGCAACCATCTCTCCTCCCAATCTCCCTCTCTCTCCCCTTACAAGGCTTTGCTGGGAAGCGGTATTACTGGCCTTAGGACTTAGAGCAAATAGAGCATGCCATCTTCCCCTGAAGCAAATACTGACTCACATGGTCAGGCTTGTCTGCACGAGGAGAGACAGATCTGGATCTGCAGATCCACTTCTACGGTCAACCAAATAGGTCTGCTTAGTGGGGGCAACTTACAAGAAGAAAGGGCATCCTACTTTAAAGTACAGGAAATAAAGAGGAAGCAGGTCGTGGTCTAAGACTTTTAGATCTCTAGTCAATAGACTGACCATGTGAATGTCCCAGATAGATGCTGCTCAAAGGAGCTGAAAATATTACCTTCCACTAACATGCAGGTAGGGAGAGGGGTTAAGTTACCTCTCTCAAAGAATACAACCACAAGAAAGGGAAAAATAGAGGTTTTTTTGAGGATGAGTAGGCAGCAAAGAGTCTGTTTTCTCTCTTCAAAATCTAATTCTTCACAGGGCAAGCCTCTTTTTATGTAGCTTTAGCAGGCTTGGTTATCTGATTTTAAATTTGCATGTGATTTAAGATGTGACATCAGTCAGGGCAAAAGGATGTCATGATGGTCCAAATACCAAGACACAGCCTCTGACAGTCTGACAGCAATAGAAGAAAGAACAAAACTACAGATGTAATCTATTAATCCCAAAGCCATATCTATCAGGTGCCATGTTGTGTGTTGGCAAAGAGTCCCACAAACCTGAGGAGACCCTGAGCTGATGACTCAGTATGTCATAGAATGAAGTCATGATTAGGTTGAAAGCAACAACCCTGCCCATTTAGAAACACTTAAAAAGCAGACCTTGAAATCCATATAGCCTAAATAATTTATAAATAAAGAAACTAAGACTGAATATTCCATCAAAGAAACTGAGTTTTCAATAAATTTTAGGAAGATGTTTATACTACATTTCAATTTAAAAAAATATATCTTGAGACAGTAAACTCCTGGCTCAATGGAAGACTTGCCATACAGAAATGCTCACTAAAGTTGAGAGGGATGAGAGGAAAGAGAGGAGGGAGAAAATGAGAATGTGACTACAGTGTCTTTGTTTATTTGTTTATAATCCCAAATAGAACCTCACTTAACACTTGGCTCTTGGTGGGTCCAAGTATTATTGGTTGATTGAATGGGTGGTATACATGTTGGGAATATAAGCACAGAATTCACAACCTTGAAGGAATTTAAGTTGCTTTCAGTTATGTTACTGAGAGCATCTTTCTTCCTCAATGTGTCTTCCTATTTCTGCCTATATATTATTTAATTGCTGTTGCTTTTTGTCATAGTTTAATGTCTCATAGGAATTCTTCATGGATAGGAGAATAAGGCTGTTTTTTCTTAGTGAGAAAATTGAGAGTAAATATATATTTCCTAGTTAAAAGCAGTGTTGCATGACTCTGAAGGGGAGCAATTCACATTCCAGTGTATGCAGACGACATTTTCTATAAATGGGCAGTGGCCAAGCTGTGCTCTAGACTGTAAAACTTACTGGGCCAGAAATTTTACCAAGGTGATTAGAGTAATTCTTTTCTTAAAATTTATGTTCCTAGAGGAGAAGATGGCAATAAAGTTCTCTTATTAAGATGAAGCTGGGATGGTTTAATTTCATGTTGTTAAAACTTTAGAATCTTATTTTGTAAAAGCCCCTGGTGCTGGGTAAAGTGAATTCCTCATTTAAAAGGTATCAATCAGAGTGCAACATTTGACAGAATATGTTTACATTTCTTTGAACTCTGCTTTTGGACTGCAACTTGAAAGTAGCTTCCCGTGCTGCTATGAGTAAAATCAGTTTCTGCTTGACTAGATATCATTTATATTTTAAAAGTGTATTTCTAGTATTATATGTACAGATGTTTACAAAAATATTTTAGATTTAATACTTTAGTTTACTTCTGAAAATCCTAAGTTCCATATAATAATTATTATTGCTTTCATGACACCTTTTGAAAGAAAAAACACTCCTGAGTTTTTATATTAGGATATCTAAACCTCCATTAATTTTTGCAACATGAGACCTAATTTATGAAAGTGCCTACAACCTTGAGTTATATGGGCTAATTAAACCAAATATGTAGGTTTACACCTCACATAACCTAGTAATAAATGCAAATACAACATTCTGTTCTGGTTTATTTTTATTGTAGTTTCTCTTTAAGTATACACACAAAACACATAATCTTTTCAATTTGTTTTTGTCTAATTTGCTTTTCACAAGATTTTGAAGATTTAAGATCAATAATATGCTTGAGAATTATGTTTTAAAACTTTTTTTGGTCATTATGAACTACCATACATATTATATGTGAAGCTGTGATAATGCACTTAACTGAGATGTTAAATACTTGTATTCCTCTTAGATCTTAATTGAGCCTTGAGTATATTTATCTCATGATGTAGCGAATGAGAATCTGAATACAGAGGATATCAATGCACATCCACAACATTGTTACCAGAAAAGCATATTGTTTTCAAACAAACCGCCTTCATCTTTTTACAGATGGGATCCTGTTTTAGAAGGCAAGTATAATTCTGGATTTATTACTATAAGTCACACATTTCAGTACTGTGGTATAGAAAGTAATTTGTGGAGAAATCATTTGAGTTATAGAACTAGTAAACCTGTGTTTGAACCCTGGCCTGGGAACTTACTGGCTGTGTGATTTTGGGCAAAGTATTGACATCATTGCCTGTTTCTAGTAAATCCTAATACTTTTTTTTCTAACTGTATTAGTTTGCTAGTGGTGCCATAACAAAATAGACTTGATAGATCAAATAACATAAATTAATTTTTTCACAGGTCTGGAGACTAGAAGTCCAAAATTAAGGTGTTGACAGGTCTGGTTTCTTTTGAGGCCTATATCTTTGGCTTGCAGTATTCTCACAGGGTCTTTCCTCTGTACATGTCCATTCCTGGTGTCTGTGTCCAAAT
This sequence comes from Homo sapiens, assembly GCF_000001405.40. Classification (NCBI taxonomy): domain Eukaryota; kingdom Metazoa; phylum Chordata; class Mammalia; order Primates; family Hominidae; genus Homo; species Homo sapiens. Next base: position 75,160,197 of record NC_000012.12, on the reverse strand, counting down.
TTCTTCTTCTTATAAGGGTGGCAATTATATGGGATTAGGGCCTAGCCTTACAATTCTGTTTGAACTTAATTACCTCCTTAAAGGTCCTATCTCCAAATACAGTCACATTCTGTGGTACTGGGGGTTAGGCCTTCAACAAATGGATTTTGTGAGGGCACAACTCAGCCTATAGTGGTAACTAAAAGTGTTTATCATTTATTCATTCATTTATATATTTTTCAGTTAGCACTCACTTTTATAGAACCTACTCTGGGACAGACACTTGTGCCAGGTACAGGGGATTCAAAGATGGTCAATCACTGTCCCTATCCTCAATTAACTCATAGTATAGTTGCAGTGATTTGCAAACTTGGCTGAACTACAGAATGACCTAAAGCACTTTAAAATATGCAGACTCTTGAGTGTGTCAGAATCTCTCAGAGTGAACTTGCAATATGTAGTTACAAAAAACTCCTTGAAGGAAATGGTGGTTTGAACACCTGTGATTAAATGGAAAATACTAGCCATATATGTAAGCTGCTTTTTAGATAGTTTAGCTCTTTTGTGTTTGTTAAACCTCCTAGTCCAGCGATGTTAGAAATTGAGTTTAAGGGAGTTTCAAGTGCTTAGTCCAAGATGAACACAGCTGGTTTGAGTAAAAGGTGGGACTGAGCCTTCTTACTGCATTTCCCCCACACTGATAAATATTTAATTATTTACTGATATAATCTTAAATCACTTGACTTGAGTCCCTAAGGTTCTGAATGCAACAGGCAGTCATACACTGTTTCCAAAGCTGGCAGTAGAATATTTCCTAAGTTTTATCTTAACTTAAGGAACTTTTATTGGGGGAGCAGCAAAAACTGAAACAAGATCCACACTGTTTTGCAGCTTGCAGCTCAGATATTTCTTTTTAAACATTGTTTAAAATTTAATTATATTTTATTTTTATTATACTTTAAATTCTGGGATACATGTGCAGAATGTGCAGGTTTGTTACACAGGTATACATGTGCCGTGGTGGTTTGCTGCCCCCATCAGCCCGTCATCTACATTAGATATTTCTCCCAATACTATCCCTCCCCTTTCCCCCCCACCCTCCGACAGGCCCTGGTGTGTGATGTTCCCCTCCCTGTGTCCATGTGTTCTCATTTTTCAGCTCCCACTTAGGAGAGAGAACATGCGGTGTTCTCAGATATTTCTTAACAGTGTTACACACCTATTTAGCTACTCCTTCTACCCCTACCAAGGGCTTATATTTACCCCACACTTCCATGCCTTTTGTAAAGACGTTTTTGTCATCCCTGTTGCATAACTTGAGCCTGATTAGGACAAGACTAAATTAAATTTTGTTCAGTATTGACTCTATAACTTGATTATATTCAAAGTCTCAAGGGACTAAAATAAAATCTGTAGAAGATAACCCTGCTGTTAATAAAAAGCCTCTTAGATGGCCTTTCCCTTTGAAGTGTAACTACCCAGATCCATTTTCAGATAAAGCTTCTCAGAAGGTTTTTTGGGAAAAAAAAATCAAAGTAACTTTGTTGGATGAAGCCTTGTTATGGTTTCCTCCTTTCACAAGACCCTGTTTCCAGTGCTTTAAAAGCCAGATTGATTTTTTTGAATAAATGTCATGGGAAATGTCATAACCATGAAAAAACCTTGCTTTTGATTTCAAAGCGCCAGGCCCTCTTGGTAGGAAAAACCAAAATTACACCCAATGTAAAGGCAAGAGAATGTAGGCTGTTACTTTGTTTTGGTTATTAACTAAAAAGGTGCAGCTGTTTTCTTTTTTCTCTCAAGTGTATCTAAAAATATAATCTCCAGGAATTTAATTAATGATTTCCAAATATATGTATGGTTTAATTCTTATTAAAATTGTCCATAAAGCTGTGCAGATAACTGTTTTCCTCCCACTCATGGTTAGAAGATTAGATTCTATTGGTTCTGAAAATTAGAACAACATTTTTTGGCTTATGAAGTAATGATGCTGATTTTATTACTGTTATATTTCACAACTTGAGTTTGGTGGATGAAAGCCTTATTCAGAAAACAAATTAATAAACTAAAAGAGTGATAGAATTTATCAATACTAAATGCTATGAGACAACACAAATAAGCCTCCTACTGACTTCTATTGACTTCAAATGTAAATTGTATAAATAAGGGCTATAAGATTAGATTAATGACAAAATTTTGCCAAATCCAAATGCAACTAAATCAGTGACCTGCCGCAAATGACTTAAATGGCCTTGACATCAATAAAGACTCCTGGCCATTTAATTTAACCGTTCTAAGAGAAAATGTTTTCAGAGGAATGGATGAACTAAAGGTTTATAAAGTTTGAAGTTTCCATTTAAAACGTATTTAAGTGATAATGTCATTGTATTTTTCATTTGCGGCATGGAGTTCAAGCTCCTAGATCAGAGATGCTGCTAATTAAAATAATCACTGTCAGTAGTCATTCAGAGTCTCATTCAGAGTTTAGCATCTTAAATTCCTTTTCTCTAAGGAATGACATATCTTATTTTTAAAGCTTTTTCCATCACATGGGGACTTTTGATGGCCTTGCTCACATGAAAGCCAGTTGATTATATGATGTTACTCAGGCACAAATGACTCAAACAAACTCATTAAAATTGCTAAACTGTGGTCTTGATGTTTAAAGACGCACAGGTCCAAGGAAGTATGTGGATCAAATAACTTCTTGAGGATAAATCTATTAGTTAGAGATTGAATTTTGTTACAAGAAACCAAAAGACAAAGCAAGGGCTTTCTTTTGTCTGATTCATCAAGAAATCCTGAGGTAGATAATTGCTGTTTCAGCAGCTCAAGGATGTCAAAGCTTAGGTTTCTGTGATTCTTTTAGCCTTTTCCTCATAACCACAAAATGACTGCTAGAGTTCCAGCCATGATATACAGAGTTAAGCAAGAAGGAAGGGCAAGGACTAAGGACAAAATGCAGAAGGGACAATCCAACAAAAAATGGAAAGCTTGCCCACTGAATTTCATTTACTTTCTTATTACCAAAATCATCCCCAACTTTAAGGCAATTACAAAATGTAGAGTTTTGCTTTGTTTGCTGTCCTTGACATTGTTGCTTCTAACAAAACTGATGTTCTGTCAGTGAGGAAGAAGGGAGAATGACTATTTGTAAGCAACATCAGGCTCTTCACAGAGGGATACCAGAGCAGTACTTGGGATTGTTCCCAGATTATGGTGGGGTCTCTAAATATTTCTTGAAGTAAGTTGGTTTATAGCGCATAGTCAACACTTTACCCAGTGTTAGTTATGTCAATGCTACCCTCTGGCTCATAAATACACTAGCTTCTTTACAGGAAAATGATACTACGATGAATTATTTAGGTGTGATATTATTTGGGTATGATAATGATATAAAGAAATTCTAAATGAATTTTTGGAGCCCAAAACATATTATAGAAATGGTAGGCTGCAAACTTAAATAGGGAGTTAGAGTTATCTGGGTAGAATATCTGTAGCTATATTAGAGTATTTATTGTGTGAAAGACACTAGGTTAAGTGCTTTAGATAGTTTATTGTTTTGTCTTGCAATAAACTTTCAACGGTAGGCATCATTTAAAAATAAGGACACCGAGGTTGAAAGAAATTGTCTTAAGATCACATAGCTAGAAAAAAAATCAAGATTTGAATTTAATACCTATTGACTTTAAAGCAGGGTCAATACACTTTTTCTGTAATGGGCCAGACAATAAACATTTTAGGCTGTGCGAGGCATATGCAATTCTACTAGCTTGAAAGTAGCCATGGGCATTATGTAAAAGAATGAGCGTGACTGCAAACCAATAAAACTTTATTTATGGGCACTGAAAATTCAATTTCAGTGGCATTTCATATCCTTTTTCTGTGTCATAAAATATTTTTCTGATATTTTTTCAACCATTTAAAATGTATACATAATTCTTATCTACAAATTGTACAAAAAAAAAATGTTTCGAGAGTCAGATTTGGCCCGTGAGTCATAGTTTGCTGACTCCTGCTCTATGTCCTATGTGTTTGACCTTGGTGCTATATCTAGCTAATATAGACACATCAAGCTGACATTTCCAGGATGTCTGCACTCTTTGGGCTGTGATATCTCTACTCTTAAAAGCTCTGAGGTAGAAATAGACAACTTTCTCTCCTGGTGACCTGAAATCAGACTGTTGGAAAATTATTTCTAAACAATGAAGCCCAACTCCACTTCCTCTAAAGAAACTGTGCCTCATTGTAGGTACTTGTCTTTTGTTTATGCTTCTATATGACAATGTTTTCTCTCTATTCATGTACAGTCCCATTTCTTTGGGATTTCAAATTGTCATCCCCTGTAAATAATACCCATTTTGAAGCCTTATTGTGAGACAAACTGATAAACTGTATCTAAAGCATTTAGTTCAGTATTTTGCACTTCCTTAACCTTGTCATTAGTGAACTGTGCTCTGCTGCTCTTCATCTGCTTGACCAATGTCTAATTCATTAATTCATCTTCTGTTCTTTCTCTTGCTAAGCACCCTCTCTAGTTAGGGCCACCTGTAGACTTAACAAGCCTTCTCATTTTCTGTTATCAGTGGGCAAATGTAGTACATGAACTCTAATAGAGATTAGATATTAATTTTTACTAATATAAAGTCAAATTATCTTCATTTTGTCCTACTCTTGATTCACAAACTGATTTCTAAGGAAATATGCATTAATTGGTTGAAACTCAGTACAATCATGCTTGTACTGACTTCATTCTCTTGAATGATTGCAAGTTTATTTTTCTTCTTACTTGTTCCTGACATTTTTTTACAGCTTGTTTTGAGACTAACTTTTGGGGAAAAAATTCCTATTCTTAGTTTTCTTTGTTTCTGCTTTGTTTCACTCCAAGTTAAAAGCTAACTCGGAGTTAGGTTTTAAATAGTCTAGTGCTTGAGAAAACTTGAATTCATCACAGGCATCATGGAATACAATTTACTCAGTTTATAAAATCAGGCCCTAATCCAATTTGCACATCCAATTTATGCATTGATGGCTATATTGCAATATTTGAGCCAAAAATTTCTGCAGGCATGGTAAAGAGGGGCGTTTTTTTTTCTTGGGAGAGAGGGTTGACAGACAAGATTGAATCTATAATTTTTTATTTTCCCTGTATTTCTGTGAGCACCAAACTGTTTGGTGATGGTCATGAAGTCCTCTTCATACTAAGCAGGTAGCACAGTATATCAGTAAAAAAGTGTGTTGAAACTTGAAAAATACTTTTCTATAGGCTCAATAAAGACAGAACAGTGACAGAAAAAAAATTAGTTTTTCAAAATGTCCAAAAATGTAAAAGAAATCTTGCATGGCAGTTGCTGTGTTGTAACTATTGTAGAAAGCCACACGACTTTTATATTATCTATTTATATGCTGTGTATTTAGTTTTATAGCACCAGTACCATATGATTTATAAAATGACATCAAATGAAAATAGCTCAGAATTATAAAAGCTTCATGTGATTTTCCTTTCCTACTTATTTGGGTGACCAGCTCACATATTTCATGACTCAAAACACTTCATTGCCAGTCAGATTTCTTTTTTAAAATATGATGGCATCTATGTATGCTGTAGCAGCACAGATGGTATTGGGGAATTTAGTCAGTCTGATTTATTGTAGCTTATCTTTTACTTGCTACAAATGCCAGTGGGGATGAGTCCTAGAAGCCTGACATTTGCCAAGGTGTAAAGACTGCATAAAATGAAATCTGCTGAACCTCCATGAGGCCATCAGGCTGGGAGTCTAGAAATAGACAACTTCGAGGACAGGTGTGATGATCCCTGGAAAGGAGAACTCAACTAAGGTTTCCTAAATCTCAGCTGCTCACTCTATAAAGCCAGTTTTGTATCAAAAATATTGCTTGTTTGAGATGCCAGTATTTCAAATGCTGTCATCCAAATCTTCCATAACCATTTCTCCTGATACAACAAATGTGATAGTTGCATGCTTTGCTAAATAAATAAATATCAGAGACAGGAGGGACCCCCTAGGGGTCATCTACTTCAGCATGCTCTATCTAGTCAGTCCTATCATGAAAGCACTCAATGGAATAGAAATATATTTCTTTTTTAGAGTCCTGATAGTAAAATTTTATTAGGAGATATATTGTACTAACAAAAGTGTGTAAAATTATAGTTGACTCTTGAACAATGTGAGTTTGAACTGTGCAGGTCCATTTATACATAGTTTTTTTTCAATAAGTACGCAGAATGTGCCTGCCTCTCCTGCCTCCCCTTCCACCTCCTCCACCTTTTCTGCCTCTGCCATCCCTGAGACAAGACCAACCTCTTGTCTTCTGCCTCCTCCTCAGCCTACTCAATGTGAAGATAATGAGGGTGAAGACATTTATGATGATCCCCTTCCACTTAGTGAATAATAAATATATTTTCTCTCCTTCACGTTTTTCTTAATAACATTTCTTTTCTCTGGCTTGCTTTATTGTAAGGATACAGTATATAATACATATATAAAATATGTGTTAATTGTTATCATTAAGGCTTCCAGTCAACAGTAGGCTATTCATTTTTTTTTGCAGAAACATATTTAAAAATTATTATTATTATTATTATAGATTTAGGGGATACAAAGTGCAGTTTTGTTAATGGATATATTGCATAGTGGTGAAGACTGGGCTTTTAGTGTAGCTATCACTAAGTAATATACCTTGTACCCATTAAGCAAATCCTTATCTTTCAGCCCCTTCTCACCCTCCCACCCTTCCAAGTTTCCTATGTCTGCTATTCCACTCTCTCTATCCATGTGTACACATTATTTAGCTACCACTTACAAGTCCGAATATGCAGTATTTGTGGGAGTCAAATGTTACACGTAAATTTTCAACTGCATGGGAGATTGGCACCTATAACTCCTGGATTATTCAAAGGTTTGCTGTATACACATACTTTAAGAAAAATGATAAAATAAACATCGTTGCTACCTCCCTCAGCCTGTGAAATAGAACATTACATGTACCTTAGGAACACACCATGTCTTCTTCCCAATCACATGTAGCCATCTCTTATTCTATTATTCCAAATGGCAATCCTAAACAATATATGGTTTAGTGTTGACTTTTTGTGGACTTTAAGTTAACTAAGTAATACAGTATTTTTTTCTCTGAATTTACTTCACGATACCTAAAAATTCATCCATGTTTATTGTTGCCACTTTTCCCACTGTCTCCCCTTGTGCTTTTCACGTCGCCCCCAACCCAGTCATTTTGGGTGAATTGAGTTTTTAAATTTATGTTGTCATTGTATAATTCGCCTCTAATTTTCGAATGTTGTGTGTACTACAACTGTTTTTCTAGTGATTACCTTTGCACACATCATATGCATACCTTACTTGAGGCTTCCAAATTATTGAGTCATAATTTATTGCATTGAGTCTTCTCCCTGAAACAAATCAAATACCTTAGAATTCTCCAACTCTATGGCCCTTCCAACAACTTATGTATTATTATTTCTGAGAACTTTAATTCTAGCTGTTTACTTCCCACCCTAAATGAACATACGATTAGTCATTTTTACTGGTAAGTTATACGATTAATGTTTGTTTAAATTTACCTACATATTTACCAATGTTCTTATTTTCCATCTTCAATCTTATATCTGGAATAATTTTTCTTTGCCTTGAAGGATATAAATAAAAATTTCCTTTAGTGAGAATGTTTTTCATTAACTCTTAATAATCACTTGTGGAAAAATGACTTAAACATACAAATGCTTCAAATATACACATGGAATTGTATGTTGACAATTATTTTCTCTCAGTAAACCAAGGGAACCATTCTTTTTTGGTTTCTATTATTATTTGGAAACCAGTTGTTTTAATAACGTGTTTTTGTTTATTTTTTGTGTTTTCTTTTTCGTTGATTTTAAGATCTTTTTATTCATTTTGATACTCTTTTTTTTTACTATGATATGTTTACGTATGTATTTATTTTTATTAATTCTGCTTGGGATTTGTAGAACTTCCTCAATCTGAGGATTGAGTCATTCAGATCTTCTCCTGGAAATGTCATTGGCCTTACTGTATTTCTTTGAACAGCATTTGCTCTCCTTTCTTTTTACTGGGCACTTTTTAAAACTTTGATGTTTTTTATTTGTAGCAATTAATTATAGGTTCACAGCAATATTGAGTGCTTTCTTAACCTATAATTATATATATATAAATGTATAATATGTAATATATATAATATATAATATATAAATGTATAATATATAATATATTATATATAAATGTATAATATATAATATATTATATATATATATTAGACTTTCTCTTTGACCCTTTCTACTACATTCTAGGTAATATCTCAGATGTTTATTCCAGTTCACTAATTTTCTCTTAAACTGATGTTTTTAGTTGCCCTTTAAAATAAATTTAAATTTCATTGTATTTTTAAATTTCTATCAGTTCTGTTTGGTTCTTTTTCAAATCTGGTTGATTCTTGATAATACCAAATGTTGCCTACAGATCTAATTGCTTTAAATGTATCAAATAAGTAGATGATAATTCCAATAATTTCTTTCTTTTAAAATTTTTGTATTATCTATCTTCTCTCTCTCACACACTTACATGCCAATCACTATCCTACATTCTTCATTCTTCTGGTTCTCATTTATGATGACTTGGTTTTTATTCAGGTTGTGAAATTTGACTGTGAGCTATTCATTTCTCTTAAAATTTTTATCTTTGGGAATTCTTTGAAGTCTGTTTTAAAGTTGAGCTGCTCCAAAGAGGATTTGCATTTTTTTCTTTGCCAGACAACTGGCAGTGGGCCAACCCAATTTAGCTTTAGATTAAATTCTCCGAACGAAGACCTTGATACTGTACAGGTAGTGTGAATTCCAACTGCAAACTTGTGTGAAGACTATTCTGTGGTTACAAATTCTCAGGGGAGCACTTTATTTTTCTCTTCACCCACAATCAGAATCTAGACAGTATGTTTGTTTGATATGGAAGGGTTTCATACAAATAAAGGGTTTGTTTCTCCTATATTTAATTTTCTGTGCAAGGTTTTTCTATTAGTTTTCTTGCATCGTGAAGGCTTTGGGCTTTGGTGAGCTTGTATCTGCAAGCCCGTCCAGTTATCAAAATGGAAATTCAAAATCTTTTGACTTCAGGCAAAAACTGTTAAGATAAAAATCATTTTTGATATTTATTCCTCTTCCAGATTTTATGTAGAGCATATAATCCACCATACTAATGGAAGCAGATATCTTAAGTGTTAATTCAAGAACATGGGTGCATAGAAAATGGAATCTATCTCTAAATTTTACTTTAGAGTTTTGAAGGTTACGTTTTACATAGCTGAGTTCTTATAATAACATTCATTTTATTCTTGCAACGATATAAAGAAAAATCTAGTTATGAAAGTATTGATGATATTCAGAAGAGCATTATTTATTAAAAATAAATATGTGAAATATTGCCATATTTGTATTAAATGTAACTATAAAATCTTGATTAGAATCATGTAATATTTAATTTCTGTAGACTGTATTTCATAGTATAGGCAGATATATGTTTGAGATGTTCTTGCTTTGATGGTGCTCACAGTCTAGCAATGGATAGCTATGCAATAAAAAACAATATAATGCCAAGGAAGTATTGATGGTGCTTATAGGAAAGATCAACTTAGTCTGCCTGTGGGAGTCAAGGAACCCTTGAGAGTGGAGTTTTTAAGCAAAAGTGTTCATGATTAAAGAAAGAAAAAGAAGAGTGGTCTTGAAATTTGTGTATTGATAGTCATTCACCAAGTAAATAAATCAAGACTGGTGGTGATGATGGTTCTAGTCTGGAGGCTAGACTTTCTACAGGAATGGTAGTGTGATATATTTCACAGAACTATAAGCTTACTATTATTGAAAAAGATAAAGTGTGTTAGTGTAACGGATGAGGGTGTAGTGAAAAGTAAACTGTTAAGCAGAGATCATTGAGGTTATTTTATTTTTATGAGTCATCCAAATTATTGAGAATAAATAGGTTTCTGAATTTTTGTTGTAATAAAGGAATTTTTTGTGTCCTATGAGTAAAGCTTGTATAGGAATATGTATTTAGTAGAAATGAGTTATAGCAGGCTCTGGATAGAGGTGCAGAATGTCAGTTTATATTCAAGGTTGTATAATCAAATGACTTCAGGAGTCACAGGCGATGGCTTACTGCAAAATACCAAAGAGTTCTGGACACTTTGGCAAATTAAAATGTCCATGCCTAACCTAAGCATGTTCAAATTTAGTATGTTAAAAGCACTGACTCTGTTGGTTGAATGAAATGGAAATTTTTACTGAATTTGTCTCAATAATCCTCCATTGCAGCCCTTAGCTAAGTGCCCAAGATTTGAGTAAGAAGATGTTGAATTTTTTCAGTCTAAATTTAATAATTATATTTACGCATTTTTATTATCTTCCTTTTATATTATCAGATAATTATACTAGACTTTTTTTTTTCAAAGCAGGTAATTAAGATCCTTTCAGTGTTACTTTAAATTCTGGGGCACAATTCAAAAGACAAATTAAAACAAACATTGGCTATTTAACGTATAAATGTTGAGCAGTAATGAAGATTAAAGATGCTCAATATAAGATTTGAACTAAAATGTTTGTGGACAGACATACCACATCCGCTGATCATTTCTTTCATTAGTGTGGCTTCTTAGAGGACTGGCAAGAAAACCATTTTCTACAGATGAGGATTTCAGCTTAACCTGAAATTTTATTCACATTTAAAATGGTATATAGTTTCTTGATTTTTATCAGGTTACATAACATTTTTTGGAGGGAAGGCAAATATGTAGTCTTCAGAAGACTAAAAAATAATGAGATGGCTAATATGCAGTCTTGATTCATGAATGGAAATTTGTGGACACAGGATTCACTAACTTTTGCACATTAATATTAATATTACTGCTACAAGAGGTAGAATAAGTGGGAAAACTACAAAATAAATTACATACTTTACACACACACACACACAGACACAAATACAGAGTTCCTCCAACTTTTCCAAACCATTAACTTTTTAAATGACTGGATAGAGATTTCCAAAATTCAGCCTTGATTAATTGAGTTATTGGGAATTGGCCATTCATCACTTGGGTTTCACATTCTAATATTCTGGTAGATAGTGATAAGATGATATCAGTTTTCAATTTCCTCTATGATTCTTTTTTTTTTTTTGTATATCAGTCACCAAAAAGATGCTCACACTCATTTACATCAAGAAATGTAATGTGACATAAAAATGTAAGAAATAATGCCATTTTAAAAAAGGTTTGCATTTCCAGATGGGGAAATCCTCAAATTGTTGAGCTGAAATTGAGGCAAAGATAAAACAAGAAACAAAATAAACAAAACTGAATTCAGAATATTGACTAATTACTTTTCTAGAAAGATATTAGGTAATGTGAAGCCAAAAAAGTTTCAATGTTCTTTAAAGAAATTGGCCAAAGTTTGATGAGAAGCAATAAAACCACAACAACGCTTAGTAATAGGCATTGATTTATGTTTTTGGTTAACAAAAAAGTAATGTAATTTTATTTTACCTAAAAAATATAACATGAAATACACAGCATATATCTTCTTTTAATCTTTCAAAAGGAAATATTGAAATATCATAGTCACCAAGCTAGCCTTTCTTGTTTTAAATTACTAAAATAAGAAGAAAATAAATAGGAAGACATAAGCTGAAGGAAAAACAAAAGAAAACAAATATTTCCAGTTTATCATTTATACAGCTAGGGGCAGGCAGACCTCCTGACCTAAGGATGCTTAGATTAAAAGAAAATCAAGGCGGAAAATATTTCCTGAGAGCTCATTTTGAATGAATAGTTGTCACAGCTCCCATGTCAGCCATGGAAGAGCTTATGGTTGTCAGTTTCGATGGAGGTTATGTCATTTATTCTTTTACTAGTCATGTAAAGGATAAGATTAGGACCATGTGACAATGAATCATAGATTGTATACTTTGGAGGACATAGTGCTGTCTTTTAAATTTTTATTTTGATTGATAAATGATAATTACATATATTTGTGGGCTACAATGCAATGTTCTGATATATGTATACATTGTAGGGAAAAGTGGATGGGGAAAAGAGAGATGTACTGTCTTTTATTTACAATTTGGATGCTATAAATTTTAATCAATAGCCCATGTTCTTTACTTAGTTTTTACACAATAAAATTTTGCTAATTTTAGCTTTTATAGTGAAGTCCAAACTCCTAAGTCTGATATTTAAATGTATTTGTAGTTTGGACTATAATACTTTTTATATTTACTCATTGCCTTTCAAACTCTAAACTTTGAATGTTTGCCCCAGAAATATCTTCCAGATCACTAACTGTTGTGTACCTTAGATATCTGAAAACTAGGTTACTTTGGTCTCTTCATGGCTAGAGCTTGGAAACTGTAACGTCTGAGTGTGGTGAAAGAAGCCCTAGGATCTATCCATGTCTTTTTCCATAAATACTAGGTTTGTGGTCTTGGCCAAGCCATGTGTCATGTCTGTGCTTTGCTCAGAAAATTTCGTCTTGCAGGAATGACACTTTTTCCCTATCCTATTTATTTAAGTTTTAACTAAAATTCCAGGTCCAAATTTAATTATGTAAACATCTTTTCTGACCACCTTAGATGATGACTATAGTTTTTATTTGTTTTCCTATTCTTTTAAAACCTATCACTTCTTGGATTGTTTTAATTTTATTTTCACATTCAACTGACTTTAAGTCAATTAGGTCGTAAGTTGGTCTAGTGAAAAGCCTAATATTCAGTGTGAATATGATGGTAAGAAAGTGAACTTTTAAGAAAACGTTGTCTGGTTAATAATCAGAGCTTCATTGAAATAATAGATTAGTATGAGGAGGATTGTCTTCTTTCCCACGAAAAAAAATTCTCCATTTATTTGGGTCATTTTTTATAATGTATAAAATTTCATGTTTCTGTCTGTAAATACCTTGCACACATTTTGTTTATCTCTAGGTGTCTTATTGTTTTTATTGCTATTGTCAACAAAATGTAATTATTTATTTTAAAATGTTACAATAAAATGAAAATGTTTCATTTTTAAAGGGATGGTAAGAATTTTTGAGTATTGATCACATAGCTAGCAAACTTGCTAAACTCTCTTATTGCACCTAAAATTGTGTGGATTCTCCTGTATTTTCTAAGTATAAAGTCTTATGATGTGTAAATATTAAGGTTTTTATTTTTCTTTCAGATCCTTGGTACTTTTTGTTTTGCTTATATTTATTTTCTCATTTTTCTCACTCAGACCTCAGCACAATTGTTCAAAGACTCAGTGAAAAGTGTTTCCTCGGGAATCACATTAAACCAATCAATGGTTACATTATATACACATAAAATGATTAATACATGTAATGACACTAACAGTTGCTAAGATGTGAGGAAATGGAGATTCTTATATACTGCTGGTGGAAGTTAAAATTGTTACAGTTGCTACACAGATCAATTTATCAGCAATCATTGAAGTTGAGGAGGCACATATCTTATGACTTAGCAATTCTATTTCTATTTCTAGGTATGTATCCTTGAGAAATTCATGCACTTGCACAAGCATGGTAATGGTTGCACTATTTTTAATAGCAAAAATATGAAACAAATCTATTTCAGAGATGGATTAAAGAAATAAAGTGTGGTTTACACATATACTAAACTATTCCACAGCAGTTAAAATTAATAAAACAGATCTACTTTTAATAACATGTATACATCTCAAAATCAAAATGTTCCATAAAAAGCAATATTCAAATGAGCAGCCAGAGATGTCACTTATATAAATTATTTAAGTCACATAAAACTGTAATACATATTGTATCTCTTTTATTGGTGAGTATATCTACATGTTAAAAATCTCTTCATGGGAATGAAATAAACCAACTATAGGATAGTGATTATCTCTGATGAAAAATAAAAGTCAGTAAGGTTGTTGCCTGTAATCTCAACACTTTGGGAGGCCAAGGCAGGTGGATCATGAGGTCAGGAGATCGAGACCATCCTGGCTCACACAGTGAAATCTCGTCTCTACTAGAAATGCAAAATATTAGCCGGGCGTGGTGGTGGGCACCTGTAGTCCCAGCTACTAGGGAGGCTGAGGCAAGAGAATGGTGTGAACCCCGGGAGGTGGAACCTGCAGTGAACAGAGATCGCGCCACTGCACTCAAGCCTGGGCAACAGAGGGAGACTCCATCTCAAAAAAAAAAAAAAAAATTGGTAAGACTGTAAGACTTTAGTTGTAGCTGTAACATTTTATTTCTTAAACAAAATAAACAACAAAAGAAAAAGACCTGAAACAAATATAATACAACAGTAATATATATTAATTCTAGATGGACATGAAAGTGTTCATTTTACCATATTCTATATTTTTCTATATTTTCAAAATATTTCAGTTAATTCTCTTCCCTACCCAAAAAATCTTAGTACATATACGTAGCACTATTTACCAGAATATACAACAAGAAGACACTAGAAATTATCTTTCTACTATCCTTGACACTGATTAAATGTTTTAAATTATTACCCCCAGTTTTAGCCTCAATATGAAAATAAATATGAGAAAAACATGACAGATGATGATCAAGGAATGGTTGAACCTGTATATTAACGGGGTCATATAAAATAAGATTAAAAATGTAGAAAGACTTTGAAAGTAATCATTATGCAATTCTTACAAGGATAATGTCTTTTTTTTTTTAATAAAAGAAAAGAAAATAGGATATGAGCTTAATGTAGCTGGCTTAGACCCAGCATGTAAATAAACAGAAGCCAATGTAAAATTTATAGAGCTTTATTTATTTATTCATAGAGTGTTAGAAATCATTTGGCCCAGGCATTTTAAACTTGGGATTGTTTAAAATGCTGTGCTAAAGAGAACATGGGGAAGTGTTAAGAAGCACTTGAATCTCCTGAAATTTCATACATTAATTGTTTGAGGTACTTTTTTTTTTTGGAGAGGATCCAAAGTTTTTACTAAGTTAAGACATAGACCAACCCTTTCAGCTTGGGAACGGGAAAATTGAGGTGGGCAGATAAATGACTCGGTTCTGAATTTATAACTGGCACACAGATGTTGCAAGGCTTTAGCCTTCTGGCTCAGTAATTTTTCCAGTAAAAAGACACAGAAGATCAGAGCAGGTCTAAAATATCCTCAATGGATTTGTGAGAATCACATTGCTGGCTCTATAAGCATAATCCCTTTTTTCCTTTTTTTTTTACTCTCTCATCCACTTGACTGTAAGTTTAATGAGATTTGGAGTTGGTGAGGAACTCTGACTATTTCGATTATGGAAAGACTCTACTTCCTGAGTCTTGGTGATATAATGTCCATGTCAAAAGGAAGAAACCATTCACCGTAGACAATTCACAATTTGAACACCAACTGGAATTTTGATGGCCCAGTGACGTTAATGAAGTATTTACAAGGTATAAGTATTTATAAAGTTAGGCTATAAATAAGGACAAATTAAAATGGTGAAGAAACTCTGGAATGTGTTTTTGGTGTGTTGTACATATATATATATACACACACACACACACACACAAAAGTACACCCACATACACAAAAATGTGTATATATATATTTTACAGACAGTCTTCCTATGGTTCCTAGGCTGGTCTCAAACTCTTGAGCTCAATTGATCTTCCTGCCTTAACCCCCCAGGTAGCTGGAACTACAAGCATATGCCACTACACTTGCCTATACAAGCATACTTTGGAGTTCTAGTGGCCCTAATTTAGTGCAGTAGCCAACGACTTAATAATTTAATGAATAAAACATTAATGTACTAGTGGGACAACACTCTACTAATTCACTGATTATATCTGCTCTATCACATGATGTGAATGCATGATAAGCCTACCGTGTTGCATTTTAAAGATATGTAAGGAATATACCCATGTCTTCCAATAACTTGTATTTCAGAATAGTTAGTGCCCTGAGGATGCTTATGACATATTAATTTTTTAAAAAAGATAATTAATTTAAAAAGTAATGATGGTTAATATTCATCAGGCAATACAAATGACGAATCTATCTTTGTACAATAAAACTGGTATTCTGCTTTTTTCCCCTTTTGGTGGCAAGTGAAACTGTCATAATTATTAATACAATGTCAGTCATATAAAAATGGATGTTCACCATGAATGGTGATGTTTTCCTAGGTAATCTTCACTCCCATGAAATGATCTTTACCTTTTGTGCATCATTTTTATTATCAGATAGAGGATATGTCAGCAGACATATTAGAAAAAATATTGCTGACACTTAAATTAGTTTTACATGTCTAATTAAAACTCCCATCCAAACAAATTATACATAATAAGAGTTTTCAATCTGAGTTACAGAAGATTTTGTGTAAGGTTTTCTATTATTTTTGCAGGTAGAAGCAAATGTCATGGTGAAAAATACAACTCACTAGATGTTTTTTAAAAATACAGTTCTAGAAAGGGAGAAGCATGAAGAATAAACATGAGAATCCAGGATCAAATGACAGTGGGAATTTTTATGTCATAAAGTCAGGGATTTCTATTAGAACCTTTTTGATTAGATGAATGTTAAGGAGAGCTCAAGATCAAGGACAGAGCCTGTTATTTTAATAACAGGCATGTAGGGCTTGAATCTGAAGATAAGTCAGAAAAGGCAGGGGCCTGGAACCACATCCAGTTCAGTTACCAAATGTAGTGTCTACCTCGCTAGTCAGGTGTGGCAGCTGAATGAAAGAGGTACACTTGATGGAAATTCTGGAAGGCAGGTTGTCCTCTGAGAAGTTGTAGCAGCAGGTGCCTACTAACAGAGATGTATTTTCAGGGGCAGAAAAATTCTGTTTCTGGATGGGCAGTAGAGTATGAAGTTTGAGACATAAGTACAGGAGAATAGGTAGGAAATAAGTTACTTTGATCATAAATCTCAGAGGCCTTGGAGATCGCCGAGGTCAACTCCCTCACTTCGTAGATGAGGGAAGTGAGACTTGTAGGGACTTTAATTATATAACAAATTGGTTAAATCTCCTGGAATTAGATCTCGAATTTCCTAACTTCCAGGATGATATTCTTTCACTAACATCATCATTTCTAAAGGCCTCTGAGACGGACCCATTCTGAGGATGCAGAACTGCTTGATCAGGGCTTTCCACATCCTCTTGGATTTGAGAGTTGGGAATGGGCCTAAAATTATTAATTGGTGTTAAATCATGAAACTTTTAAAGTAAAAGGAGTGCGAGGGAATAAATACTTTATCACTTTAACACTCCTCTCTTCAACAGGTGGTGTCTGTGTTCCCTTGCTTTGGATATCAGCAGGCGGACTTGTGGCTATAGTGGTGTCACTGTGTGACTTCTCAGGTTAGGTCATAAAAGACAACCTAGCTTTAATGTATATTGTCTTGGGATGCTGCTTTTTGGATCCAACTACTACGCTGTGAGACAGCCTAAGCAACCCTTGTAGGGGCCCATGAAAAGAGGAGCTGAGGCCCTTAGCCAATATTCCTGGCTGACTCCCAGCTAACAATCTAAACCTATCTTCAAGTCATGAGTGAATCTTCTGGAACCCCATTCAAACCTTCAACAACTAATGCCACATGGAGCAGAAGTGGTCTGTTCCTCCTCAAACTACAGATCTATGAGCAAAATAAATGATTTGTTGTAAGCCACTAAGTCTTGCAGGCAGTTTGCTATATTGGACGTAGAGTGCCTGTTTAATCAATGATAGTTATCAGTGACACCACTTACTCAAGAGGGCTTCAAAAACTGTTTAGCACACAGATTCTATTGTTTTTATTATTATTTTATTTTCAAATCTTCATTTTTGACTTGTAAATGACAAGTCTGTCTAAATAGTATAATGAGAAATTCACATTTGCAGATTTGTGCTTTCTGGGACCACAATTGTCTTATCTCTTTGTTTTGTTTGTTTTTAATCGTGAAGTCAGACTGTGTTCAAGTCTTAGGTTAGCCATTTAAAGTAGGATCTTGGACAAATTATTAATCTTTCTCTGCTTTAATTTTCTCAGCTATGAAATGAAGCTGATAACTCCTTTGCAGGATTTTTAGTGACAGTTGTACAGGAAGTTTATTTAAGGATTAGGTAATCAGCTTCTAGAGTCTGACCTGAATTTGAATTCAGGTATTCCCTCTTACTACTTGCGTAGCTCTAAGCAAGTCACTTAACCTCTCTAAGACCTAATTTCCTCATTTATAAAATGAGTACAGAATGAGTGAATACTAAGGCAGTATATTTTTGTGAGGATGAAAGAAATAACACATAATTTGCTTAGCACAGGATGACATACGGTAAATGCTCAATACATGTTAGCTATTGTTTATTGTTTGAATGACGTTAGATGATGCTTCAAAGCATGTAAAATTTTTTACTCTGGTACATAGTAATACTCATTAAAGAGTATTGTTCTTCTCTCAACCCAGTCTCAGGACCACATGGCTTATCCAATACATTATACTAAATTTATATTAGCCACAACATTACTCAAACATGGAAACATCGCATTGAAAGTAAGAAGATGGATTCAAATTCTGAATGATTTTGATAAATGAATAAATTTTTTAAAATGGAATGCTTAAATGGAAATCATTGATTCTTTCTGAATAAAGGTGAAGAAGAGCCAGCAGTCAGTGTGGGTTAGAGAGCTACATATTAGTCAGAAATGTGTTTCTGTTAGGAAAAGTGCCAGCACATAGTATTTAAAATCAAAGTGTCAAATAATTACTATCACTACTACTGTAATTACTACTTGCTATTTTATACTAGTTACTGTTTTAAGCTCATTTAAAGAAACTTTATCGATTTATTTAATCCTCAAGATAATCTAATGTTGCAGAGGTTAACTTTGCATTATAGTTTTCTCCGGTTAATCACAACCTAGGATAAAGAAGCCTCACTCCCTAGAGATGGGTATTGACATTGTTGAGAGAATTTAGAAGAGTGCAGTGAAAGTGGTTGAAGGGTTTGAAAATAAAACATTTGAGGGACAGGTTAGAAAACTGCAACTTAGCCCAAAGAAGAGAAAAATAAGAGGTGTCTAAGAACAGCCTTCAAGTGTATGGTGGGTTATGCAATTGTGTGAAGAGAGTAACCAGTTTTCATTCAGTTTGCCTAAGGACAAGAGCAAAGAAAATGAGCCCAAGTTTTAGCATGAATAGCAGAAGTTAGAAACAAGAAAGGTATTTCCCACAGTGAGAATCATTGTTTACTAAATGGTGCTAATGGAAGAGATGGCTTTTTTTTTCCTCCACTTTTTTAAAGCATAAGTTTGTTTTTTGTTTTTTTTTTCTTGGCATGATACTAAATGGTGTTCTGGAGGAAATAGAAAATCTCTCAATTTCTTTTCATCTTCCTGAGTCTATGACATTAATCGTTACATTAAAAGTTTTATAAATTATGCATCTCCACTTCTAATCTTTAATTCACTGAAGTCTATGATTATTCTTCACTTTTTTTTTCTTTTTTGGTCATTATATATCAGATATTCTTTTTTGTCTGCCTGCGTTTTGGTTTTTCCATTTATTCATGAGTAGACATGTATCCCAAATGTGTTTCCACAGACATAAACCTTGAAGGATATTTTTTAACGTGATAAAATTTAAATCAATCAAATTTATTACATGGTAGCAAACAAGATCAATGTTCGAGGGAGGGAAGACATTGATCAACTTAGTTCAAATTTATTTTTATAATTCTTTACTATTCTAACTTTTACTATTAAATTACTTATATTTGTATGATTCTTTGCCATTTACAAAATAATTATCATACACATTTGATAGATTGTAATAATAATGGTCCCTGACAAATCACACCTATCTATCCACATTTTTGTGTAATCTCCTTGTCTAATGATTTTTTTTTTGGCCATCCGACTTACTTTGGCCAGTTGGATATTAGCAAATTTGATGCAAGGAGAGGCTTGATAGATTCTTACATGATGTGACTTACTCTCTTGACGTAGGCTGGAGAAGCTATGTGAAGAACAGAAGTGCCCAGAAAAAAAAGTCCAGACATGTAAGTGAGAACACTGTGCCCAACCAAGCCCAGTAGATCCCTCTCATGACTGACCACAGGAGAGACCATTAGGGGAATCTCTCAGCTAAACACTGTCCAAATTGCAGAATCCCTAGTTAATATATGATTCTTATTCTGATGCCTATATTTTAGGGTGGTTTGTTATTGCAGCAATAAGTAACTGACATACATATTGCCCTTTGATGCCCCTATCAAGCCTATGAAGAAATTAGGGAAGATATTGTTGCCTCAGTTTTACATATGTGGAATTTATGGCTGAAATATATGTTTGCTCGTAGTTTTTCTTCCGCTGCAATACTTTATTAATTCCTCCGACAGGTTTAGAAGAAAAACAAAGTCTAATAATTAATGTTGTCACAACGTTCTTCAGAAATTTAAAAAAAGACAAAATTATAAATCATGCTTTCAAAGTCAACTATTATTTTATTTTATAGTTGAAAACATGGCTTTAGCATATTTCTGCTTAGACATCTCCTTGGTGCTGGAGAAGAGTTATAATAGCTACCACCAGAAAATGTATTTAGAGAAAGAGAGAGAAAGGCTGAGTCAGGGTAATATTTATGGATATGGAAAAGCAGTTAGAACTGAACTAAATTCACTCAAAAATTCTTGTTCACATAAGAAAATTTCATCCTCAAACGTGATCTCCATTTCAGGGAAAATTTTGCATTCTTCATGCTGGTTGCCAAATTGTTATTTCACTCGCTGCTGTTTTTAAAGCAGAGCATCGCTCACAGTTTTATCGGCTTATCTTTAGCCATAATTCACAGCTTCCATTGAAGAAGAGATAAAATTTTGGTTCATGTTTTATTCTTTTTCACTTCCTTTCCAAGGCATGGCCTTATTATTATATCTGGGCCAAGCTGGATGCTTGAAGTGACTGCTTTTTTTGTGCAGCAAAATGAAATGAAATGAGTTGGTTATTTTAACTCGAAAGAGAGCAGAGGCAGTCAGGCTAATCTTAAAGATGTAGACAGTAAATAATGTGATTTATTAGGTCCCTGAGGTCTCTAGGACCTCATGCTAGAATGCCTTCAATTCTTTGGCATTTTCTCAGGTGAGTATTACTGGCACCTTCTCTAACCGGTATCCCATTTTCTTTTTCCTTTTTTTCTTTCTTGGTTTTTTTTTTTTTTTTTTTTTTTTTTTACACGGAGTCTCGCTCTGTGGCCCAGGCAGGAGTGCAGTGGCGCGATCTCCGCTCACTGCAAGCTCCGCCTCCCGGGTTCATGCCATTCTCCTGACTCAGCCTCCCGAGTAGCTGGGACTACAGGCGTCCGCCACCACGCCCAGCTAATTTTTTGTATTTTTTAGTAGAGACGGGGTTTCACCGTGTTAACCAGGATGGTCTTGATTTCCTGACCTCGTGATCTGACCGCCTCGGCCTCCCACAGTGCTGGGATTATAAGCATGAGCCACCGCGCCCAGCCCGGAATCCCGTTTTCTTATAGGTAAAACATCTTTGACAACCTCTTCTGCTTTGAATTCCTTCTTCTAATTTCTTGCCCAAAGTCAACTCAGTAAATACAATAAAAACATACCTTGTTCTCAAACTTTAGTGTACACAAGGATCACCTTGGAAGGCTATTAAAATATGGACGTTTGCTCTACCATAAATATTCTATTAAATTAATTTCCTGGGGTGTCCAGAAATTTATTTTAAAAAATATTTATTTTTAGTTCTTTAAGCACTCAAGTGATTCTGAAAACAGGTAGTCTAAAAACACACTTTGTAACCTCAGGTCTACTTGCATTCTTTTTCTCCTGTTCCAACTGGTATTATTAATTAACATATATGTATAAAAAGATATTTTAAGGCTGATGATTAAGAAAGTGAGAACAATCAGTGGTAGAGCTTTTTGTAGTGGGTACAAGATGAGCAAATGGTTCTGTTTACAGTGGATTTTTTTCCCATTGGCAAAAGCAAAATCCAACAGCAAAAAATGCAGATAGTTGCTGTGCTCTGGTGTCAAGAAATACTTCAGATATGCAATCCTCCTAAAATAAACATTACTTTAAAAATGAAGTTAGCAGGATTCTGTTTATGTCCAGGTCAGTGAGTCAGTCCATGTGAGACCACAGCATGGGTAACTGTTGATCAATGACAATCCACTCTAAGCAGCCACTATATTCCCATGGTGGGCTTTCAGAAATGCTCATTATCTTGTTGAATTAGATTTTTCTCTTTAGGAAATGAACTCAATGCTGTATGTTCATTTTGGTAGCTATTAAAATAATGTGAACTGCTAACAGGCACACTTCTTTTGTATCAAGGTTAAATCAGAGGTACTGATGCGCTGTTCCTTCCCAGGCTGAAGAATTGAGAATATTTGATGGTGATGAATGTTTCTTAATGAAAATGTAAACTGAGAAAGGGAATCTAAGCTGACTTTATGTTTTACTTATATAATTTTTTTGTTTTAAAGGTCATATTGACTGTAAAGCTTTTCTCATGCGGAAATATGGATGATCTGTATAGAAAGGTTTTGGCATTAAGATATATGTACAGACAATGCACATGCATAATTTGGGACATAATATTTTGGGGCAAAATATTAATTATAATACAGCTGTTTTTAATGGATGTGATTATGTCATTATTTCTTTTAACCATTTTGTTTTTTAAAAAATCTTTGTTAGTCCATGTTTTCCATGGTCTGATGAAGAATTTGGTTATATGACAGATGAAAACACAAATATGTATACATATATACAGTATTTGCAGCTGTTCATAGAATCCTGGAACTTTGGGAAGAAGCCAGGAACACAGATGCAGTTGTAAAATGTCTTTATTATGTGTATAGGTGGTAGTTAAAACCAGTAAATTATATGAGATTTCTTAGAGCAGAGTGTAAAGAAAAAAGAGCTGAGGATGAGATCCTTGAGGAGTTGGTATTTATAAGACAAAAAGAGAAAAACATCTACTGATGCATACTTAAATGTCAATGAGGTAGGAGAGAACTAGTTGAGACAGTATTTTGAGGGCCAAAGAGAAGAGAAAAGAGAAGCCCTAAAAGTGTCTGTTAGATTTTGCAAGAGATGGTCACTGGTGGATTTGGCAAAGGTATTTTCAAAAGGTACTGATTGTAGTGAGTTGAAGAAGAGTTGGGAAGGAATAAGAGGAAAATAGAGCAGGTTATAATTGCAAATTTGACAAGGAAAGAGGAGAGAGTGTGGCAATGGATTGGGAATGTTGTGGTGGGAACATGCAGAGTAAAGCAAAGGTATTGCTTCATTTTAAAGAACGGGAGGGACTTTGTTGAGTCCTTGTCTAGCTTTGGTATCAGGGTGATACTGCTTCATAAAATTAGTTAGGGAGGATTCCCTCCTCCTTGATTTTTTGGAACAGTTTCAGTAGGACTGGTACCAGTTCTTCTTTGTACATCTGGTAGAACTCAGTTGTGAATCCATCTGGTCCTGGGTTTCTTTTGTTATTGTTGTTGGGAGATTTTTATTACTGATTCTATCTTATTACTCATTATTGGTCTGTTCAGGGTTTATAGTTCTTCCTGGTTCATCTTGGGAGGCTGTATGTTTCCAGGAATTTATCCATTTCCTCTAGGCTTTCTAGCTGGTGAGCGTAGTTGTTCATAATAGTCTCTGAATGATCTTTTGTGTTTCTGTGGTATCAGTTGTAATTTCTCCTTTTTCATTTCTGATTGTGTTTATTTGAATCTTTTTTCTTGGTTAGTCCAGCTAGTGGTCTATCAATTTTGTTTATCTTTTCAAAGAACCAAATTTTATTTTGTTGATCCTTTTTCTTGGTCTCAGTTTCACTTAGTTCTATTCTGATTTTTGTTATTTCTTTTTTTCTACTAGCTTTGGGTTTAGGTTGTTCTCGTTTTTCTAGTTCCTTGAGGTGCAGTATTAGGTTACTGATTTCTGATTTTTCGATTTTTTAGAAAATGTAGGCATTTAATGCTATAATGTTCCCTCTTAGCCCTGCTTTTGTGGCATCCCAGATGTTTCGGTATGTTGTGTCTCTATTTTCATGTATTTTGAAAATCTTTTAAATTTGGTGTTATTGTAGGCTGTAGAGGAGGTTATAGTGGACAGAAAGGTTAAATATACCAAGAAAAAAAGGATAATAGAGCTGAGTGTTTGACATATTTGTCTTAGGTGGAGGGAAATTTTTCTCTGACATTAGAGAAAAGGAGTTGGTAAGTGTGGTGTGCATAACACAGAATTATCAGGTCTTCCTCAGTAGATTACAGACTTGTCAAAGGGGAAAACCATGCTAAATTAGAATATGGCCATGCTCTGGGTACACATAGAGTGACATTATACATAGCACACAATTAAAGATTAGAAATATTGACTTATAATGAAACTGTATTATTATAAATATCTAAGTTAGGGCATAGGTATGAAGAAATGAGTGGGTAGAGATCAAATCTATTGTAATAGTCACCAATTCGATGACATGTGGAACAAAGAGGTAAGGCTGTTTTTCACAGAACCAATGTAGAATGTTCTTATACTTTCTATCTTTGATTGTCAATAATAAGCTTTCACTAAAAGTTCTGGAATTATCAGATTTTGCGGTAACATCAATATTATCTACTAGTTTGTAGATTCCTACTTGGACTAAAAATATTTGTCTTCAAAACAATGTCTGAAGTTTGAATATAAGCATGTATTTATTTATCTATCTATCTCTTATATTTTCTCTGGAAATAATTTAAGGGCATCATTAATATTAGGAAAGTTGGATTTTTAGTCTGCATGCAGTATGTATTTGAATGTACAACTGGAATAACACAGATCTGCCCTGTAGCAAAGAGAGACACATTAATTTAACTACCATCATTATCACATTCACACAGAGCTGTGAACTTGTGATGGTCAGGGATTCAGTGGCTTTTTTTTTTCATTTTACATTTTTGCCAGAAACAAGCACTTGGAATGTTGCCTAATGAACCCTGCTATTCTCCATCTGCTTTGTCCTGAACTTATTCACATTTGCTATGTAACTGTGGATAGGGATTCTGAAAGGAACAGGAATTTGTAACCCTGGGCCATAAGAATCAATAAAATCTTGGCTTAGTGACTTGGGCTATGTAACATTTGAGAGTATAAATACGAAAATATTTTGTATTTATTTAAAGTAAAAATGATCTGATATTGATTATGAATGGGTTTACTAAAAGCCGTTCCTTTCTGTGAGTGTAATTATAATTATATAAAGCCTGTTTAATCAGACTAGCTATGGAGATAATCAGACTAGCTATGGAGATAATCAGACTAGCTATGGAGAAGCATAATATGAATCAGAATTTTAGAGCATTTAAAACAAATATGATTTTATTACTTGCAAATGCACATTGTATTTTATATTAGGCTGAAAGTGTTTTCTAAGAGTAGGCTTTAAGATACTTACTCTAAGTATAATTTTGTCGTTCATTATCTATGAATAGATATTTCCAGAAAGACTGAAGACTATTTTAAAAGCATTTTTTATCTTAGAGGCTTGCAGAATCCACTCTAACTCTAACCCAACATTTCATGGATCTATGAAAGGAGAATAATAACTTCTTTTTTTTTTTGGTAGGTCTGTGGATAGGATAGTGGTATATCAAAACTTCTTTCAGGACTGAACTTACACACTTAATCAATTTAATTTATCACAAAGATATCTCTGCTTATTTTCCTGAAATTTCAATATGACGTTTAAAATAATAATTTCTGTTCAATTGAACTGTATTGTTTTTGTTTCAGAGATAAATATCATGCCTTTTGTGTTATAAAGAAGCATGCACATATGTATTAATCATGTGCTTTTACAGTATGAGTAGAATCACAACATAATTATATCCTTGTAGTATCAAAATATTCTATTCAACAACTATTCACTTAATGCCTATTATAGGCAGTTCACTATGCTTTAATTTTTTTAACTTTTTTTATTATATTTTAAGTACTATGCTCTAATTTTAGCTATACATATTTAAGTGGAAAATAACTGACCTGTCGGGTGACTCTGACATTTGCCCAGGTGTATTTTAATTATCACTGGATACCATAATAGATAGATTGCTTTTCATTTGTGTGACATGTTTTGTTTCATGTTTTCAGACATGTTGTATATCAGAATACAATTTTGAGAAATGTAGAATTAATCAGTCAATGCCTCCTGATATGTGCTCTTATATCCTCCTACCCCTACCAGTTGCCACTTTTTTCTTCCTTTTCCTTCTTCATCTTTTTTTCGTGTATCTTTATTAACTGTTCATCCCTGTTATTCTATTTAAAGCAAGACCGTGTCTGTTTGTTTCATCACTCTCTTGTTACTGCCTAGCCCAGTTTGCACAGGATATATGTTCTATAAGATACTAAATGAATGAATTCCCATCTCATCAAAGAATGAATTACATATATTGCATCTGCATATAAGGCCTAGATTCTCTATTTTTATATAATAAATTTCAAAAACTATATCAGACTTAGTGAAATCTGAAAGTTAAATTTTGCCATTTTATTCATGTAAGGCCACTCTTATGAAATGCCACTGCTAAATAGTAAAAATTTTATATATGGTTTGGGCTTGAGGGTTCAGGATCATGCTAAGATATTTGACTTAATTGGAATCACTTGCCAAGTTTTTCCTAAATTCTTAACCCATCTATAAAAAACTTAAATTAAAATCCTTGGTTATAGGTAGCTAATTGTTTTTTTTTTCAGTTCTGTAGTATTGTTTTCCTTTTAAAATTTTTATGGATACATAATAGTTTTATATATTTACGGGATATATGTGATACATTGTTACAAGCATACAATTTGTAATGATCAAATTTGGGTAATCCATAACCTCAAATATTTTATCATCTTTTTTGTTGAGGATATTCCAAATCTTTTAGCTATTTTGAAATATACAGTAAACTATTGTTAACTATAGTCTTCCCATTGTGCTATCAAACACTAGATCTTATTGCTTCTAACTGTATCTTGAATCCATTAACCAAACTCTCTTTATTGCCCTACTCTACAAGTAGCTAATTATTAAAATAATTATTAAATATTTGGTTTCTGGAGAAAAACTAGGGTATAATAGAGTTGATAAAGTCTATCATCGATTTTTATAGTCACTTTATCTGTCTTTAGTAATCCAGAATTTATAGTGATTCAAGATTCGAAGCAACCTTGCACGCTAATTCATCAACCAGAGGATGTAAATGTAAAGATGAGAGGTAGTCAGTAAGGAATGAATGAAAGCAGTGTCGAGCAGCAACAATAATCCAGTGAAATGTAGGGAACCTGGAGTAGTAGTGGAGCTGTCATTAAATGCAGTTTACATTTCTTCAGTAGTGTTATAGAATCACTTAAATTTGATTTAATCAATCAATTTTAAGACATACAAATGTATCACTATGAAAAATTATTAATCATGTAAGAAAATACACCATAAAACCCTTTATTTTGTATTGAGAGTTTGCATCCTTTATATAATTTGATTCTCTTAACAAATCAGAGAAAGATGGGCTAGAGAAAGCCAAAGAAGGAGCTATGACTACAACCAAGGTTTCTTCTCAAAAGTTGCAATTTTGCCAACAATATGTTTCACCTTAACATGTGTCCTTGCCCTAAAATCCCTGGTATTCATGAATTTTGTTTTGTTCCAATAGTTTTATAGTAAAAATTGTCAAGCATACAAAAATATTGAAAGAATGTTACAGTGAACATCCATAAACCCATGGCCTCAATTCTGGCATTAACACTATATTATGCTTGCTCTTGCACATATCTATTCATTTAACTAACTTTATTTCTATTAATCAATCCACTTATTTTTGGTACATTGCAAAATACATTGCAAAGTAGCTAAAATATACATCCAGCTAGATATTTCCACAAATACATTTGATTTTCAATAGAAATAGCTAATTTTTTTATATTTATTATAAATATCATATACCAAGCACTATGCAAAGCTCATTACCTGCAGTATCTCACTGATAGCCCCCAAAAGGCTATGAGGGGTATATTGCTTTTATTAATTCACCTTTCCAAGTGAAACTACAAAACCTTAAAGTGGAAGCTTGACTTTCTCAACATTATACTCAGCTGTAAAATTTGACCAACTTGTGTAAAATTAGTAAATTTTCTGATTTTAGAGACAAGGCTTCTCCATTAGTTTTCTGTGGCTACTGTAACAAATTAACACAATCTTCGTGGTTTAAAATAACATCCATTTATTATCTCACAGTTTTGTGGGGCAGAAGTCCACGCAAAGCTGGCTCAACGGTATTCCTTCCTGAAGGTTTTGCAGGGCTGAAATCAGAGTGTCACCTGGGCTGTGTTCCTGTCTCTAGGAGAGATTCTACCGTGAAGCTCATTCAGATGTTGGATGAATTCAGTTCTTTGTGCCTGTAGAACTGAGGTCCCTCTTTCCTTACTAGCTGTCAGAGGGCCATCTTCACTCCTACAGGGCCTGACTTCCTTGTTATGCTTCCTGGGTAGCCCCCTCCAGCAACAATGTGTTGAGTTCTTCTCATCCTTTGAATTTTTTTAACTTTTCTTTCTGCCACATCTCTCTACCACCAGCCAGAGAAAATGCTCTGCATTTAGGGGCTCATCTATTAGATTGAACCCACCCAGATAATCCAGGATAATCTCCCTATTTAATGTCCATAACCTTAATTATATTTGCAAAATCCCTTTTGACATGTAACATAACAAATTCACAAGTCTGAGGACATTATTTGAGGGCCCATTCTGCCTACTGCTATAAGCCACTGCTTTCAGTAGTTCTTTAGTTTTAAGATCATCCAACAATTTTTTAAAAGCATGCTTTTGCTAAGTGTAAGGAATAAATAATGTAATTACTATTTGAGAATAAGATCTATCATAAATTATTATAAAGTTCATATGTACTTTTTTGATTTCTGGGTAGATTTTGAAAGGCAAATTTCAAGATGCCAGTAAAAAATGTAGTCATCTTTCCTGTGAAATATTTTCTTCTTTATGCTTTGAGTCACTTTGTAATTAGTTAAGGCATTTTCGCTGACGTGTTACAGCATGTATGTGAAAATTTATGATCATCTAGTTTTGTTTATTTTGGTGGATAATTTGCAAAGTACCATGACTACTCCCAAGCCTCAGGCCTTTTCTCAACATATGTTTATTCTAGTTATATCCCAAAGGGTATTCTACACATCATTGCATTGGTGCACCCAAACAGGAGGCGTAACAGATGGGATTGATTTGTCTGTGAATGGCAGATGTTGGTCATTCACTCAGGATTGCCAGTGAGCTGATATGGATTACAGGGTAGACTAAATCTGAGCTTCCCTATCTGTCTTTCCTGCCTCATTTTACCATGCCCATGTGCATTGTTTTTTTTTTTTTTTATTACTAGGAGTCCTTTCACAATATGTGAAAACTTCTGTATGATTTTAAAATGTGTATATACCCAAGTCAAATAAAAAATCCTTGTCCTCACAAATACGGATAACCTGTGATTTTAATATCCACCTGATGGAAATGAATTTGCTGTTAACCACACCCTTATAATAATTTCTTATTGATGTGTTCATCACTTTCTATGTTATAATAATTTCTGTAGCCTCATTCAGAGCATGATTTAGGTTTTATTCATCTTTACAACCGTAACATTTCCTATTACTGGTGCTAGCATAAAGCTTAGTTACACCATTCATTCATTTGTTTATTTTATATAGAGCTATGTTGTGTTGTGTTATGTAGTTTAGGCCCTGGGATGAGAGAGATAAATAGAAAACAGATTCTCAAAAAAGCTTATGGACTGGTAGAAAATAAAACCATGTACATAAATTATTATTATGCCATTATAAATGTTATAATTGAGAGTATGAAAGAAACATAGAGGAGACAGACCTAATGGAGGATGAAGAATTGAAAGAGATATAAATACATGTGTGTGTATATGTACGTGTGTGTGCATCTTTATAAAATTATATGAAATAAGACTCAAAATGTGTTATGATTAGTTTCTAATCTCTTTGGGAAATTATACATAGATAGTTTTTAGATTGGGGTACAGGACCTGTTTTGGAATATCACCTTAGAACCAATTAGGACAGTTCCCTACACTTAAAACATGGCAGGTGACCCTGAAGGGTAAACAGAAAAAGAACTATTTTGTAGATTGAATAAAGGCTGGCATATTATGGGTACTATACAGAATTCAGGTAGTGTTATATGGACCTAATAATCTTTAGGAAACTATTCATGAGATTTCTTTTTGCATGTTTCTTTAGATACTTATCAAGTCAACCACATACCTAAATTGCCATGCTGCCATAAATTTCTCAGCCTTCTAAAATGGATTAAACTACAGTAAAGTCATAGGCATTGCATCATTTCATGAATGTCTTATTGGTATACTGATTATTATGGGCATTCAGATTGTTTTGTTTCTAGCACTCTCCATCTCCATTTTTTTTTGCGTGATATCCACATCATGAAAGAGATTTCAGAAAATCATTTTATTTCTTCACCCAGTACAGTTTCTACTTTCTCATCTCACTTTACTCAATTTCAACTTGTGTATATGAAATACTTCTTGTATGCCAAGTATTGTGGTATGCACTGACAAAGGAACCAAAAGAATACACACACAGCCCTGTGTGTTTACAAAGCTAGACACACAGCCCTACCTTTAAGGAAGTTAGAACGAACAAGATAAGATTTAAGCACCAATGAAAGCACAATGTGTACTTAATACTTAGCACTTGGTACACTGAATGGTAGGGAAGTTACGAGCTCAATAAAAGCCATTTTATCCATAAAATATAAATCACTGGATGTTTGTTAATTTATTACCAGGCTAACTGGCAATCATGGTAGAGTTGGTTGAGGGGGCAACTCTTCTGCAGCCTGTTAGCGTCATGGCACCCCGGCTCCCTGGCTGTGCAATGTACTTGAGGACTAGTTCATCTGGTGGTTAGTTTGTTTGCGCTGATCTGCCACTGTTCCTTTGCCCTTGATACCATAACCCGTCTTTATAAGACAGTAGCTTGAGAGGAGTTAGGGATGAAATGTATAACCAAGTGATAGAGCAACTATTACTAGCTGACAAGGATTTCAAGTTGGCACCCTGGTAACCTCATTATGAACCATGCTTTAAATGGCTATTTGGCCTGTTTCTCCAACATGAAAGTATCTTGGCTTGTGAAAGTCAGTAAAGAATATGTTCCTATTTGGTGACAGCCTGACCTTAGTTTCAGGGATCAATATCAATTGAAATGCTGAGAAGCATGAAGCCATTGCATCTGATTAGCATGTGAGAGGCTAATTGCATCTTCTCTAGAGAAAACATGGGAATAAATGAAGCATGAATCAAGAGACAATGGGGCTCACCACTGGTGATTATATGATTGTATGCATTTCTCCATCCCTCCTATATGAAATTAATGAGTTTAAAGCTTAACCTTTTTTTTTGACTAACATAACCAGGCAGTGAAAACCATTCTGAAGCTTAAATATCTGTTTTTTTTCCTGTTGTAGGATTTGAAGAACAAAACCCTAAGTATGATTTTCTTTTCTTCTGAACAGAGGAGATTGGGTATGGCTTGTATAAATGTAAAAATCTAAAAATCCTGATGTGCAAATATGCTCTGCTGTCTTTGGGAACAAAGAATTTTTTGACCCGTTTTGTTTTATTTAATCCCTTCTTTGAGTAGGTTCTTACAGTTAAAACTATGACTTTAATTCTCCAAGTATTGTTTTTTATAACAATATTTAATAGGAGTATTTGCTGACTCGGTATGTTAACTAATTTTGTAAATTGGGTGTTGGAATCACGAAATAATGAGTAATTTTTGGAGGTCCACATATGCTAATGCAAACTTCTTGCTCTTTCCTGGTAGGTTTTTAAAGCATATGGGGATGTGAGGCTGGCCAGTTAAGAATTTACACCTCCAATTTTTACACTGCTTTGGTCATGGACAATTTTCTGCAGAAATAAGGCTTATTTAGATATTTAAAATAATTTCATTTTATGTTGAATATATTTCTACTTCTGAGTGAATATAATAGATTTCCATTGTGGGCCATAGAGAATTACATATAATTTGAGTTATTATTTTTCATTGTATAATTTTGTGATTATTACATGGAAGATTTTTCTTTATCATTGCCATTCTCATTTGAAATCTATTATGTGAATATTTTCAGGTTTAAGATATTATAATAAGAAAAGTAGATTCATTTGGAGAAAAAGTAATAGAAAATAGATTGCAGAGGTAGTCTGGTAATAAGATTTTTCCACAATATTGCAACTGAAACTGGGAAATCCTGTTACATTACTAGATATTTTCATTGCTATGACACTTTAATATTAAAGAAGATGTTCATCATTATGACCTTTATTAGTGGTTGTGGTGTGATGCTCTTTCTTAGCTTGGAGAAAAGTCTCCACTATGTATTTTTATATGGCTACAGCCTTTGTACAGGTAAAAACCATGACACATTTTGTGTCTCTTTCACCTGCCTCCTCATTTTAGAGAAAGAACTGTTTGCTGCCCCACATTTACTTATCTACCAAGTCTAGTTTTTATTCTTCTCAGTTCTAAGGTCAATGCCTTTATTTGCCTCCTGGCCCTCTTGAAGCTGTTCAGTTTGGCAATGGGAGTCTACATGTTTTGCTTACCTGATCAAACTAGTTCCCTTCCCTTCCCTTTTATTTATATTTTCAACTGACATGTTCAATTATTTATTAATTCCAATCACTAGAATGAAATAATACAGACTATTGAGACTGCCTGTTGTCTCCGTAGTTCCATAAAGCCATAGGCAATTTTCCTTAAATATCAACCTCCTTTTTCTCTTCTTGTCAGCAGCTAAGAACTGACCTTTTTCTCTGAAAGCAAGTGAGGGATCCTGTAATTTTCAATGTTGCTTGAATTTAATTTGAGCTACATTTTCAACTAGCACCGTCATGTAACTACTAATTCTCGCTTTGTTAAAATGTGACTTTTGCAACAGTACAGAGATTGTTACAGACTGTATTCTGTTATTTCCACCTTGAGTTCCCATTCATAACTCTTTGAGACAAGTGCCAAACCCAAAACACTAACTGAGACAAACTAGAAAGCAAAGATTTTTAGAAATACACAATACATTAACTAGACCAGGGCACATTTAACACAGCACTGTTTTAGTAGGCATGATGGAAAGCTCGAAGCTTTTCGATTATTATACGTAAGTTTTTCTTTTAATATGCCAGTGTCATGCCTGGAAAATTACAGATAAAAGAGTTGGCTCTATACCATGTGATTTAAGAACCCTAGGAAGTCCTTCCTGCCCCAAATGCTTTTCTAAAGGCGTGTTTCTAATTTTCTTTACTGCTAGAATAATATTTGTATAACAAATATCTTATCCTGAATGTTCTTGTTTATAACTTTTGATGGGACCCTATAGTGTTTAAGATAAGATTTAAAATCTTAAGCTTAACCCATGAGACCCTTCATTTTCAGACTCATCTTTGTGCCAGAACGATTCTGAATGTCTTGTTGTTCCTTCCACGTCTCATGCTATTTCTACCTTCTTTATAAACTCCTAAGTGCCTGGAACATTCTCCCCCTCTTATTAACTGCCCTTTGTTTCCATAACATCCTGTGGAAATCCTCTTTTTATAATTTATCACACTATACTGTAATCAATAGTGTTTTTAAGTTTTCTGTTACATAAAATCCTTAGGGATATAAAAATGCTTTATTCAAGTTGTATTCTTAGCACCTTGTACAGTGTCTGACACATTGTAGGTAGTTTAGTAAAAATTTGTTGAGTAAATATGTGCGTGAATAAAGAGATTTCAATGTTGAAAAATTCATTTTCTTATTTAAAAGACATAGTTTACCATGTTATTCTTTTTAAAAATGCAAATATTATCAGGGAGATAACACATTAACTGACTATTAGTTTTACCATCTTCAATGTAGCAAACATGCATTTGAAAGTAATTCATGTCGCCCTAGGTTATGCTATAAAGACAAATTTGTTTACTGCTTTGTGTAGTAGTAAGCACATGAGATTGAGAGAAGAGAGACTCGGGTTTTTTAGTTTTGCTCATAAGCTCATCAGATATCCATCTTCTGGATCTTTTGTTCTTAGTTACCTCATTGTTTAAAAGAAAGAAAATAATATTTATAGTATGGTGTTATTATAAAAAATGAGATAATATATATTAAATTGCTTTATAAATTCAAAGGATAATAGTCAAACAGAATTTTATATTTGACCACTTGATTCCCCAATGGATGAGCCTAGGTGAGAGAGCCCAGAATTCTGATGAGGAATGAGGAAGAGAGATGAATTCAGTTTGAAGGTGTGATCCAGTAATCTGAGTGTATATAGTTTGATAATGGTACACATGAAAAAGAAAAGGGAATCCAAAAGGTGAGTTTGGCACGTAAATTGGCAATGACCATGAAATGTACTTCACAATTCTTCTCATGACTGACCCTACAAATTCTAATAGTGCTAGCTAATTACCTCGCAAAAAGTGATATGAAAACAGAAGGCATAGCGCAATGTCTCATATTCAGAATGATCACTTTGTGAAGTAGAAATATCCAAACATGAAAGATTTCACCATTCCATAAGGATATGCAAATAGAGCAGTTAAGACACCCATCTGCTCCTCTGTTTCTCACTTGGTTTGGATCTTCTGCTGAAAAAACACAGTTGATTAATTTTAATTGTGGGTATATTGAAAAGTTTCTATTAAAAAGAATGACAGTATAATCATGTGGTCCTAATCATTGGTTCATAAGTCAAAAGCGGTTTGTCTAATTTTGATTCGAGTTTAAGACCTAGAGATTATTTTCAAAATCTGTATTTGTGCTTTTGTATACTTTTTTGATCTATTTATTATCCACCCTTGTGAACAAATTGGTACAGGAGAATGGTAGCCTCATGAGTTTTCTAGTTGGTATAATTATTCCCAGTCACGGTAGAACATGTGTCAGTCATCTGAACCTATTTGATGTTCTTTGCCTGCTTGGTTACCATTTTTGCCCAGAAACTTTGATTAATTTTTTTTTGAGACGGAGTCTCAGTGTGTAGCCCAGGCTGGAGTGCAGTGGTGCGATCTTGGCTCACTTCAAGCTCCGCCTCCTGGGTTCACGCCATTCTCCTGCTTCAGCCTCCCGCATAGCTAGGACTACAGGCACCCGCCACAACGCCCGGCTAATTTTTTTTGTATTTTTAGTAGAGACGGGGTTTCACCGTGTTAGCCAAGATGGTCTCGATCTCCTGACCTCGTGATCCACCCGCCTCGACCTCCCAAAGTGCTGGGATTACAGGCGTGAGCCACCGCGCCCGGCCGATAAATTCTTATTAAGGTATACTCCACACAATGAAGATAAAGAAACAAGCTAAGAAAGTAAGAAATATATCAAGAATGATAAATTTTGGTGGGAAGATTATAAACTTTTGTACAGAATGTTATAACCACTAATAAGAAAGCAAATTTTTTAAAAAAATTTTAAATTTTATGAGTCTGGTAGCACATTGAGATTTAATCACAATGGCTTGAATTTATATCTTAATCCTTCTTTAATGTATATAAAACATCTTTATCTTCAAAGACTCACCTGTGCCATGGCTTATTTCTGCAGAATCATACATCTGCGAGGGATATCCAGAGCCCATTATTTTGTTTCTCTGTATGACTGCATACTTAAATAATCTCAGACTCTTAATCCTTAATAACCCATTAAAGCATATTAAAAGTCCTCTCTACCAAGAGTTCATGTTTTTATATCATTAAATCCCTGTTATTGCAATCGGCCTTAGTGAAAGTATTAAACAGCTGGTTAGCTGCTGGGTAGTAAATTTTCATAGAGCTAAAGATTTTGATCAAGTAAACCTGGAGCCTTTTAACTTTAAAAAACATACAGTGTAAAGGTGTTTAGGGGTGAACAAATCCCCTAGATTAATCATATGTCTGTTCTTCTTTGAAGCATAAACATTGATCTGCAGAGGACAGATTGCTTTTTCCTCTGGAGTTATATACAATGTAAAAATTTATTTAGGGAAAGCAAGTGGCTTCAGCACATACAGAACCAAACCCTGAACACAGAAGATCAAGTTTCATGCAGGAAGATTTGAACGCTTTGACCTTTTTTAAGAAATGTGGTGAGTTTTTTTAAGTTATTTTAGGTAAAATTTTATTTGCTTGATTAGATGAATGGGGAACATATAAGATTTTAGAAATCGTAGTGTTGATTGAAGAATGGCTGCACTGTGTTGCAAAAGTGGTATTCAATTTTGGCTTTTGACAACCTTTGGAGAACTTCCTCTATAACCAATGTATAGAGTTTTGGCTGATTTTGAAGTTTCTCCTGTTTTCTTTGATTCTGTGTAATGCTCACTGATCCCTGGGGTTCCTAAGAGAATCAGGTCTCCAAGTTTTCCACCGTGGTAGGAAAAAATTAAAGAAGAGAAGATAGTAGGATGGTGCATACCTCAGTTGTGGTGGTATACTCAGACTATACTGGGTTGTACTCTATTGGTTTAGAATCAGGACGATAAAGTTTGTCCTCAGACACATTTGGGATGTTCCCTAGGAAAAAGGAGAGAGGATGTTGCTCTATTGGTTTCCTTGACAGAATGAATAATTAGGGAAGATAACATAGGGCAGAATTAAGGGTTAGAAACTGCCTGTTCAGTTCTAAAGGAGGCATTTGGGAAAGTGGTTGCTTAGGATGACGGGTGGATACCAAACTGTTTGTTTTGCTCTTCTCCTTAAGTGTATTTTTAAAACATTTAATTAGAAGAGAAGTATTTTATTGTATCTATTTTTATGCTATTAAGAATAGAACTGGTTTCAAGCAATACTCAACTTAGATTTACATATCATTAATTCTAAGCCAATTAAACTAGCTGAGTCTTTAGGCTTAATCTATGCAGTAAAAACTTCCTTGAAAACAATTATTTTTTCATGCATGTCTCTTCTGTACCTGATTTTGAAGCTGAAACTTAAAGTGGCATCTTAAATTTATGTAATGAAATTAGAGAAAAATCATCTTTTAAAGGCCTATATTCCAATCTTTATTTCATTTTATTTATTTATTTTTAAATAAAATTTGTACTTACTTTTTAAAGGAATATATTTAATTTAGCGTAATTATTTGATCTGGTTAGATACAGATTTTATTTCACTTAGAATTAGCTAAAAACTCAATTTAAACAATATAAAAGTGGATAAAATAGCCTTGTAAATTATCAAGGCAGATTGGCATAAGACCTGAATTAAATAAAATAGTCTCTTGTGAAAATAAAACTAAGTTACAAAGAATATGTTGTTTTGGTAAAATTATAACCTTTACCACTTTCTGATATCTTTTCCGCTTTCCGATTTTTACTAGTATCTGATGTTTCAATATACAGCCTTAGCAAATACTAGATGATAATGAATATTTCATAGATGAACAAAAACATGTTTGTACTTGCTGGTTTGCTTTGATGTCTTTTAATTGTAATAGTCTTTATTTGCCCTAACAGACCAACTACGAAAATTCTATAATAGATTTTCATATGCTTTGACATGATTTTCTTTGATTCTAAAGCCATGTGGAGGAGATGAATTCTACTTTCCTTATCTTAAATGTAGGACTACGGATCAGTTCATAGGATTAATGAATGTCTAAGATCACATATTCATAGATGGGAAGAGTTAGGACTTTAGCCTTACTCTTTGATCTCCAATTCTGTGCTGCTTTGATTATATGCTCATTCTTATGTTACTCACCTACATGAGTTCTGAAATGGGCTCTTCTCTTTCTACCTTATAAATAGTGCTGGGACTCAGTTTCTTTGTGAAATGGGAATTATAGTGCCTACTCATAAGACAGTTGTGATATTTGAATGGCCAATTTTGGAGGGTACCTCCTGTCATGCCTGGTACAAAACAGCTCCCATTTCCCTTCTCCCCAACACAAACAAATGAACTCTGTTGTCCATGGATCTATAAGAGGGCAGAGATGTCTCCACTGTTCTTGTAAGAGGACTGAGAGTTTTGTCTTGGTGGTAGTGGATGTTGACCTGTGATTTCTCCAGATGGTCCTTCTCTTTCCTTGTTCCATTCTTCTAAGTACTTTGGCTAGGTCACTGTATGGTCTAATAGGTAAGTGGTGTCAGCAGTGGCCTCCAAGTGAGGATTCCTATCACTCACACTTGACACTGAGTCCACTGAGTCAGTGTTCAAGAAGCTGATAACCAAGAGTTCTGCATTCTTGAACTTGCAGAGATCTTTGGGAAAACTCAGTAATAAAAAGGGCCTCACTTTTCTTTTCTGTAAAGTAGAGGTGGTCAAGGATCATGGTGAATGCCAGAAACAGAATGGAGAACTTTGCTCTGATATTACAATTGAGCTGACAAGTGAATAACACTCACTTTAATCTATCCAATATGCCCATGGGAATGATTGCTTCTATTCCATAGGAAATTTCAAAAGAAACAGGACTTAGCTCTCTCTGCACAGCTGCAGAGTATCTGAATCACATGCTGAATATTAACCCAACTAATACAACATTCTGCTTTCAATAGCTAATCAAAATGCACAATTAAACAAAAAAGAGTGATTATGGTCCTGTGACAAAGGCAATCACTTCCTCAGGGAAACTTCCTTTTCTGCCTCCCACCCCTATATTTATTTTCCTAGCTCATATGAAAACTTACATTTTCTAGTTATGTGTGTGATTACTTGTTTAGTATCCATTCCTTCTTGAGGGCAGAGATCATGCCTATTTTTCACTGTATTGTCTTTAGTGCTTCACACTATGCTTGGCCCTGTGCTCACTAATTGCAGAATGAAAAAGAGGACTTAGCAAATTGTCCTAAATCAGCTGACATTGGAAGACAGAATGCTTGGTTTCTTTATGAGACCCAAAAGGGAAAATTTGAAAACAAAGCAGCTGTAATTAACAGGAAATTCATTGAAATCAAATATGTATTTAAGAGCCAAGTCAGGAATTCAATAGCACTGATCATGAATATTCGTAGCATTAGGAAATAGGAGTGAGATAAACTGAGAACTGGAAACATTGTAAGGGTTAGGAATGGAAACACAGAGGGTACCAAGGCCAGTCCTAGCATCATGGATACCGTGGTCCAGAGAGAGCTGTATACAGACACTGTGCAAATGGTGGCTATTGGAAAGTTGCCCTATATTGGTTGCAGAGGGAAATGAAATGGGGATACAATATAGTTACATCTGTTATTAAAAAATGTATAGGGTTAAGTCTTTTGTTGATTCATACTCAGAGCTCTCACTTAAGGAAAAAGTATTGCAATGGAAAAAGAAATGAAAAGATGTAAGCTGCTAATAATCAAGAGTACAATCTCAAGGCCCTCTGCAAAACATACTATGGAGCCCCTCTCAAATAATTCCCATATCTCTTCTTACAAGAAACACTTACTAAGGTCCAGCAACTGCCTTTCCTGGGAGGGTAATTAATAATCACATGCCAAGGAGTCTTTTGTAAGAGCCTCTCCTTGTTGCCAGAGTCTTCCATCAATTTTAGCACTTCTGTGTCAGGGACAGGATATTCTTTTCATGGCTTTGGCTTCAGTTGTGATCTTACTCCAAGCAGCTTCAGAAGTTCAAGAGTGCTAGTCCCTAGGATTTAGAGATAGCATATGGATTTTTTCCAGCAGTATAAAGAACTGGCTGGGCTTAAGAAATGGCATTACAAAGAAATGCTGCTATGTGCAATACCAGCTGTAAATCTTGCCAGATTTAGAATATAGGGTTGTGGTATGCCAGCAGCGGGGAGTCTATGACTCCTGGTTCAAGGCCAGGGCAGGAGGCTTTCTGCCAAGCCTCAATGCCAAGATGCCCAGGAATCTGTCTGTGGTCTATACTGCAACATAAATCAGTTGTGAATATTGACAAGACACTGTAGCTATACCGTGGAATCTCTGCAACTATTAAAATGATAGAGTATTTGGGGATAATGGAAAACGTGTTGTTCTATATTCCCCTTAAATGCAAATGACTAGAAATATCAAACTGAAGCTCATGAGAGACTTAGCCTTCTGTTTTATTCATTCTGTATTTATTGCATTTGAATCCCCAGTCTTATATTAATTATAAGCGAGATGGAGATGATGGGCTGGAAATCCTCTTCGAAAGCTTTATGCAGAGCATGATAACTCTTTGATTCACATTTTGCCGGATTTGGTTTTATAGTTGTATTCTAAAGATAATCAGAATTATTATCAGATATAATCAGATATCTTTATTCAGTTGAAAGGGTCATCTGTTTCTTAAACTACCATGTATTTAGTTACTGTTGTTGACCAAAATATTACACTAAACTTTTTGCTTATGTTGTCTTAATTCTCAAAGAAAATCTTTGTGGTGGAGGTTGTTATTACCATTTTATATATGAGGAAACTGAAAACTTTCAGATACGGAAAGCTTTCCAAGTGAAGGAGCAGAGTTGGTGCACAGAACAACCTCAAAGCCTATGCAGTCTACCCTGGACCTATGCAGCTCTCTGGGGCAAGAGTCTTTACTAAATGCAAACAATGCAGAATGATAGAAGTAACATGACCTTGAAAGTTGAACTGGTTTCAAATTCTGGCCCACTTCACCCGTTATGGTTAAGTTTTCATGGTTAAGTCACCAGTTTCTCTGAATATGTTTATTCATCTGAATAATGAAGATAACAATTATTATAATATTATATTACAGTGTTATTTTGAGGATCATGTGAGACATTGTAAGGGAAAGCACTTAACTAACCCTTTTCACGATCTCTACTAGAGAGAAAATATCCACCTTCCTAGCAGTGATTAGTTTTGGGCAAAGCCACATTTTAAACAAAACCTACATTTTGAAGTTACCTATGAATGCTTCATTTGGCAGCCTCTGCATGCTGTTTTTGTTATATTCCTGAAAACAAGAGTGAGCAGCCTCAGATCCCAGTCTGTCAGTTACCCCATTGTGTATAATATTAATCTATTTGACAGGGCCATTTTGTGAAAAGGAAATGACTTAAAGGATACCATGGAAGGGGGTATTCAGCAAACACATTCCATGTACCATTTCAATTAATTGGTTCGTTGTTTTATTCTTTGTAATTTCAGTGTCCCACTATGATTTAGATGGATTCTCACCAGGCCTGTTAACTTACCATGGAGTTGATCAAAAGTAAGGTGTAGGCATCATACTTGTTTTGTAAGCAAATTTCTCCTTTTCCAGTGTAGTTTCCTCTGCCTATAAACCGTGAAAGCATAAAATTCAGGGATGTCAGATTTAATCTCTATTATATTCTGTCCGGTTAGATGTTCTGTCTCTTACAGTGGTAGAAAGGGATATAATACAAAACATAGTCTCTCTCCTGGATTACTGCACTAAATCCTTAACCGATTTTTCTGTCACTTTGTTACCTCACTTACTCCATATTAGCTGCATTAAGTTTTCTAAAGTTTAAATTAAATCTCACTGCTTCCCTTCTTAACTAGAATAAAATCTGTTTTCTTTACCATGACCTCTAATGCCCAGCCTTTCCTTCTGACTTCTTCCTAAAAACTACTGCTTCCTCACAGCATTCTGGCCCCACTGGTCTTCTTTCTGCTCTTTGCCAGCATGCTTCAGGTCTTGAGCTTTGACTTTCTTCTGCTTGTAATGCTTGTCCTAATTCTTACATGACAGCCCTCAGCAATGAGGTTGAAATTTTCACTCTTTAGAGGGGCTTGTCCCAAGTACATTATATAAACCTGCCACCCACCTTATTGTCTTCATTTTGCTAATTTGTAATATCTGAAGTTATTTAAATTTATTTGTTTACCTGCTATTATCTGTTTCTCTCCATTGAAATGTTAGCTATTCTGTAGTATCGTGCATGTATTGTTCTCAGCTGTACCCTTGAAGTCTGGCTCATTGTAGGTTATTCTGTAATGGTGCTCAGTATATGCTCATTTAACTGAAAGACCTTAATTAAGTCACTTATACTCTCTGAGACTTGGCTTCTTGATTTGTCTAAATGAGATTGTAATTTCTGCTCTATCTAAATTTTAGAGATGTTGTGAAGCTCTAAAAATGCCATTGCTTACCTTTGAAGGCCTTGTGTTAGGACTGAGTTACAAAAATGAAGGATGAGTCTTGTTTTGAGACAGTCCAGCATGATGGGGTAGGGACATACATAGACAAATAATTTTAACATATATTGATTACTATGCAGGATGACTGAGTTGTACAACTCCAGGGGACCAATTTGTGGTATGGGTGAGTAGTAACCTCTTTAGTTGTGTAATGCCCAAACTTCATTGCCCTAAATTATGGCATGCATTCTTTTAAACACTTTTAAGTATTACCTCATATGATCTTCGTTTAAAAACAGATGAAGAAGGCATTATAGTTTCCATATTTACATGCCATTATAAATGTTAAAGAGTGTGTATATGCTATTATATATTATTAGAATAAATATGTGTAATATATTATTATTTAATTGATTTAAACTTTAACTATTGCCCTCTCCACCTTATCCTTCCAAACCTAAGAGTTCTAATATTTGAGTTTGCTCTTATGTATTGCTAATTTCTTTTTCTTAAAAAATTCCCTGAATACTCTCTACCTTTGTTAAGGAGTAAGTAATGATGAAAACTGTAGCGAAGTGACTGGGATGTGGAAAAATAGCTTTTGACTATAAAGCCATTTATTGGACTCTTCGAGACTACCCATGAGACTAACAATTGCTACAAAAGAAAGTCAGTGTTGCAGTCTTTTTGGGGGGACAGTTGTTTTATAGAAAATTTATGTAAATTGTCTGCTATCCCATTGGTGGTTGTAGTCAAGATAATAAAAGAAATGCAGGACCAGCCTGTTGACAGTGCAGCTTGTATTTTTTCCAGATTTTCTCCTTTATATATTTTGAAAGGAGCAGGCAAAATGAATTCAAAACAAAACTTCTCAAAGCGTCGGAAAGCATAAAAAACAGTAAGCCTTTAAACCCAGAAGCTTCTCAGTGTACAGAGACAAATGTATAATTAAATCTGGAAGTTATTTCTTTCTTTTTGTCTTCTCTTTCCTTTATTTTTTTTTTAAACCACAATGCAAGAAAGCCCAATTACTGGTGATAATGAGAGTCAGGGAGTAACTGTGCCCAAAACAGAAGAAAAAAAATGTGTTGCTATGTGAATGGAATCGTAGGAAGAACAATTGTAAGGGAAGCTTTCTTATGCTAGACTGGAAATGATAGCTAGAGCAGATGAGATGCTACCCTTTAAAGTGAGATGATGAACGCAAAGCTGTTTTCTTTGGAGGCAGGTGGGCAGCAGGGAATTAGTTGCATCAACCATGAGTTGCAGATATGTGTGTGTTGGCCCGGGGGAGGAGGGTCAGCATATGGTGTCCGTTAAGAAGGGTGGGTACAGGCTACAGGCTGAGACTGCCAGGACAGAGAATGTTGGGAATGGCATCGTTTTAATCAGCCTTTCCTATGTGACCCTTTTGTTCTACTTTTAAATGTCCTTTTGTTATTTAGTGATCTGAATTTCAAGATACAATATCATGTTTTGTCTTTTATTTCCACTGCTCCTATTTAGCTATTTTTAAATGTTGTTTTGCTATTATAGTATCTTCCTCTATTGGAATATGTATATTCAGCCAGTTTTCTCAGAATGTTCATTTCATTTGAATCTG
This sequence comes from Homo sapiens, assembly GCF_000001405.40. Classification (NCBI taxonomy): domain Eukaryota; kingdom Metazoa; phylum Chordata; class Mammalia; order Primates; family Hominidae; genus Homo; species Homo sapiens. The sequence continues at coordinate 75,116,490 of NC_000012.12, read as the reverse complement.
AATAAGAAAATAATGTTATGTGAATTGGAAGGAGAATTAATAACAGCAATTTTTAGTAGCTGCTTTTATAGTCTTCTTTCTGGAGTCTAATCGTATTTCCCTTAACTTTATTATTATTATTTTAATAATAACAATTCCAACAATATCACTAAGAGTACATTTTCTTCTGATATTCTCTTTGAGGCAGAGTATGAGATTTCCCAGCTGAGTTCAGCTGTCTTTCTGGTTCCCTTCGGACCCTCCTTTGAAACATGTAAATTCAGGTCCTGCAACCGTCTTTGGAATTCATTGCTTGATGACCCTCAAATGGTGATGCTGAACCATTTTGTGCTCCCTTTGTAAAGGTATAATCCCCTGATCTTTGGTTGCTGCAAAATGCATACAACATTTTTATTGAAATTAGATGGGTTTATGCTGAAAACCTATCACTTTAAAAATATAAAGCACAAGGTTCCTTGACAGGCCAGTCACTTAGTATTTATTCGGCACTGTTCCAGGCACTGCAGGGAGCTCAAGAAAAAATAAATTATAGTTGCTGCGCTCAAGCAACCTGTAATTTCCTTGAGTAGTTTAAATAAATGCATTCAAAGCAGGGAGTCCAGAGATGAGTTTCAGGTATGCACAATATTGTAATTATATTCATTATTTTGGGGGGAGGGTGTCCAGAGCTCTCATTCTTAATAATTTTGTTTCTTAAATAATTTTGTTTAAATAATTAAATAATTTTGTTTAAAAAAAGATACGAAGAATCACACAAGTAGAGAAATAAATAGGTACAAATCTCTGCAATTCTGATTCCAAGTGTACCAGTTTAGAGAAGATGCATTGACGTGACCTGAACTAATTCGGAAAAGTATTCTAACATGCTAGCCCCTGAAGACTTTGATATGCAGAGGAGAAGATGAACAGAATTCCTGGCAAAAGCACTAATAATCATCTGGCTCCCAAACTTGGTAACGAGACATGGGACAAACTTTGTTTTTGATATGGGAGCATAAATAAATAAGTAAATAAACAAAATGAAGTAGATGAAATTTAGAGTTATTCAAAACAGAGTACAGATTTTGGATTTGCCATTTAATAGATGTATGATCAGCATCTCTCAGAAGCTCAGCTTCTTCATCTGTAAAATTGAATAACCATGCCTACCTCATAGAAGTATCGTGAAGATAAAATCAGATAATGTGTGGAAGGATTACTGGCTGAGATCCTGGTTCAGATTAGAAGTTTCATAAGTATCAGTTTTCTCTTTTAGATTCTAAGTGCAATGACATTTGGTACAGATCACAGTAAGTGAATACAGAGCTAGTCATCAAAAGTAGAAGTTGGGCAGGGCGCGGTGGCTCACGCTTGTAATCCCAGCACTTTGGGAGGCCCAGGCGGGTGGATCACGAGGTCAGGAGATCGAGACCATCCTGGCTAACACGGTGAAACCCAGTCTCTACTAAAAATACAAAAAATTAGCCGGGCGTGGTGGCGGGCGCCTGTAGTCCCAGCTATTCGGCAGGTGAGGCAGGAGAATGGCGTGAACCCCGGGGGGCGGAGCCTGCAGTGAGCCGAGATCGCGCCACTGCACTCCAGCCTGGGTGACAGCGAGATCCCTTCTCAAAAAAAAAAAAAAAAAAAAAAAAAAAGTAGAAGTTGAATGTTGACTGGAGCTTTTGGAGAAAGGACTAAGGCAACACAAATAACTCCGTGTATTCTAAAAGACGGCAGGAGTTTGAAGGCATTTTAGGGAGAGAACTATAAAATAGTATGATGTGAAGTAGTATTTGTGAACCTCAGTGAGGACCCCAGGTCCTTTGCACATGTGTGGAGGAAGGCTCAGTTCCTTACATCACTCAGGCTTTGATCAACTGCTACTTCTTTGGGTTGTAATTCCCATAACTGTAGTAACATCTTCTAACATTTCCTTTCCCCGATATATTTTTCTTTATAGCCCTTACTCGTAGCAGCAGAACATTACAGAATACAGGCTCAGGGGGCCAAGACTTAAAGGAGGCCAAGACGTAGTCCATTTTGCTTACCACTATGTCTCTGTTACTAGCATAGTGCTTGGTATTTATTAGATGTTACATATATATTTGTCAAGTAAATGAATAATGCCTGCAAGATGTTTGGAAACAAGAACCCACCATATTTGCTGATAGATTTGCTATAGGGTACAAAATGAAGGAAGCGTCCAACCTAGCAACTGTCTGTAATCTAATTTTTAATTTTAGATATTTTTTGTTTAGCGATAGCTTTTATTAAAATATACCTATCCATAATTGTTTCTGGGTCTGTAAGCCAAAAAGTCAAAAGCACTCTCATGTTGGTTGAATATTTTATAGATTCCAACAGATTTTGAGAGTCATTCCACTTCAAATTAAAAATTTAGTTGAATAAAATTAAAGTATAAATTAGATTAATTAAATTTTCTGAGTCTTCTTTTGATTTATCTGAAGCTATGGTCTATGACATTAAACTTTCAATAACAATGTGTGTGTGTGTATATATGTGTATGTGTGTTTCTTTGGGTAAAGATATAGGCTTACAAATAAATAAGCCGTAATTAAGCTGGATTCTAATTGAAGACAAAACTCTTTTTTTTCCCTGGAGAGATTGAAAGTGGCCTGAAACTCTGTGTGGTAGTATCAGCACAGTATTCTTACAATCCACGGCTGAAGGACAGACCAATGCCCTGTAAAGGACATGGACAAGACTGCACTTCAGAATCAAGATACAAAATAGATAAGAGGTTCTACTCCCCTGTTTCTCTACCTATATTGTGAGCTTGCAAAGATGGACTTCTGAGATTTAATTGACAGTTTCTTATAGTGGGCAGCCCATGTGTTCTTAGTCTCTCTAAACTCCATTTGAAGAGAGGGTGGGTATGACATTTGGAGGTGTTGGTATGGAGGCTGGATTGCAGAATGGGCATGTTAACAGGCCAGAATTCTGACACAGGATGGTATTATTCCTTTATAAATATAAACCTACATGTAAGAATATTTTGAACGATGATACTGAAGAGAATTCTCTATTTTCATTTTCCTTTTATTTTTTTCTGAAAATTACAGGAGGAAATAGTGGTTTTAAAGTTCTAATGGTCAGAAACTACATATTTAAATGACTGATATATGTGAATCAAGGTTGAGAATTCAGCTTTCAAGAGATAGTATTGAGGTCTTTTATTATGAAACTTAAGTATGTTTACCTTACTGGTCCAAATCGCTTGATATGAACATTGTGATTAGTTAGTACATTAATTTTAAAGCATTTGCATTTGTCAAATGATAGACCCCATTATGTATATATCTTCACTTTGAACATTCCAGATGTTCAAATGTTGGCAGATATATAATAACAAGCATCAGTTTCTAGCCTACAAGATGCTTCTCACTTTTGATGTCTTCTGAATTATGTTAGATTACTTATTGCTTATCCTTTGAGTTACATTGTAAATTAAATTCAAGTTTCCTGGTTAAACTACATTTATTTTGCCTTGCATAGATTTGAGAATTTTTATGAAGTTCCATTTTCATATTATTTGAACATCAAGGCAATGCTGATTGTCAAGAAAAGACTGAATATTTGCCTACCGTAGGCAATTGTAAAGTGGCACCTCCTATATTTTAAAGTTTTTAGTTTTGGCATGGTGACTTTTTAATCAGTGTTTATCCTTTGTATGGTTACTATTAATTCAAAAGTAATGTACTTAATATGTCTATTAGATTATTGGTTTCTTTAAGCTCAATTATATGGATTTTATGTATTTTGATGGCTTGTTACATTTTTTGGTAGCTGATTGGGCCTAAATTTTGGGAATATTTCTTACTAATACAGTTCAGGCTTAAATTTATCAATTCAGGAACATTTTGGTCTTACAGAAAAATGAAGACAGCAAGTAGAAATGTGCAGCTTATGAGTTAAGAAAGGAAATACTGGATCAGATAAATAAGTAAAAAGAAGTAAATGGAGAGAATAGGGACGCAGTATAATTTTTTAGATAAGATAAAATAAAAATGGAGTGACTAGACCTCAGAAAGTGATAACACACAGAGGCAGGGAAATTGTAGGAAGAGTTAAGAAAAAAAGCACAGAACTTTTGAAGATTTAAAATTTCTTCTGCTTCTTAGAAGTCCTTGAAACTAAATGTAATCTTCAGTGGTGCTATCAAGGAGGAATTATCTTTATACTTAATTCAGATAACTCAACTTCAACTGAAATATTTTTTTCTTTATATTTAATAGTTGGAGAATAATTTGTGAATTCTGAATGTTTCATAAGCATAGAGTAGAACTGTAACTCTTCTTAAAATGTTAGTAATCTTTTGGGCTAACTTATCTTTTATTTTTGTATTTTTCACATTATATAAAGTGATAGATAAATTATAGTTAACAAAAAATAAATTGTAACAGACATTTTGTATTTTAATTAAAAAGATATTTAAAAATTATTTACAGATACAAAATCTAGTATAAACTGCATAGAGTATTTGTTATTTTTATTGAATTTTTTCCTATTGAATTTTATTGAGTTTTCTTCATTTTTTAATAGAATATCTTTTCTTAATCAATGAGAATATTTAAAAATTATTGAATTTTTCACACAACACTGGTGGAATAGCTTGTTGAAGAAACTTTAAAAATAAAATCACTGTGTTAGCTGTTTATATGTGCTGTAATTCTCTGTGTTCATAAAGGAAGATAATATCTTAGTGTGCATGTATTCTTCACCCTTCCTTCATCCTCTTCTAGTCTATCGATTTTGAGGAGATAGCTTAATATTTTTAGTTTCAGACATTACATTTTCTATTTTAATGCATGGCTTCGGATGTTAAGAATACTTAATGAAAATGTCAAAACTTGGCAATTTTCAGCAGAAACTCATATATTATTGGTACCAATAAAAATTGGAGAAAAAAATCACTTTGAAAAAAAATAAACATTTGGTATCACCTTGTAAAAAGGATACTTATTGATATACAATAAGTCAGTATATTTAATTCTACTCTTTGGCATATTCTTTAGAGAAACTCTTTCACCAGGAAATGTGTACACAATTGTTCATAATGATACCGTTTGTAACTGGTAACCACCAATGTTCTCTTAGAGGAAAATGGATAAGCAGTGCAATGGGTTCACGCAATAGATTGTTAATAGAAAAATAGAAAACTTAAAATAGAAAAACAGAAAACTTAATGTCTGAAATCAAAAATATTAAACTATCTCCTCAAAATCTACAGACTAGAAGAGGATGAAGGGAGGGTGAAGAATACATGCACTCTAACATATTATCTTCCTTTATGAACACAGAGAATTACAGCACATATAAACAGCTAACACAGTGATTTTACTTTTAAAGTTTCTTCAACTAGCTATTCCACCAGCATTGTGTGAAAAATTTGATAATTTTTAAACATTCTCATTGATTAAGTGAAGGCAAATCATCTATAAAAATGGATTTCATGGACATATTATTGCATTAAAAGTAAGTTCCATAAAATTGTATATAGTCTAATGACAGTTTTTATAAATATCAAAAACAAGAATAACAAAGCGTATTTTTAAGATGCATAAATTCAGGGAAAACAAGAGAATTTTAGTGGCCACTTCCTGTGCAGTATGGCAGAGGGGTCATAGCCTAGTGTCAAGGCGTTAGGACAATTAGGTAGTTGTTTGGCTCCTGAATATTTATCTTCTTTTTTGCTTTACAACTTTATAACTTTAATATATATGTATATAAGTTATATATATGTAGAAAGTATTTTATAATTAAATACATTACATTGAAAAGACTTCCAAAAAGAATCCATAATTAGAACACCACATATCAATTGCTATCCCCTTCATGGAGATCATCCATATAGATCTACTTATGTGCTTTACAAGGCACATGGCTCAGCCCTCTTTTGTTCTCTTGTCACCATTTCCTATTCCAAGATCTCCGGTCCTGGTCAGTTGATATTTGTTGCCTTCTTACATACTTTTCTTAGGTGGAAACATGTGGTTGATATTCTCAGAATCTCTGCATATCCAGAGATATACTTCTTTTATTTCCCCTGGTGATAGGTGTCTCATCTGGGGATGGGTTCTTGACTACAGTCCTCTCTCTCAATGTTCTGTCAATATTAGCTTCTATCTCTTAGTATTTTGGATAAGTTCTATTGCTACTCTGATTCCTTTTATTTCAAAAGTTACCTACTTTGTATAGATGCTTACAAGGGTTTACCTCATTTAAGGAATTCAGAATAATTTACCAGGATGCATATAAAATATGTTGGTTTTTTTTCCCCCTTAATCCTTTCTGGGACATGGTGAACCCTTTCAATCTGTAGCTCAAGTGTTTCTTCAGTTTAGAAAACGTTTTGTCTATTGTTGGCTTGATTATTCTCTTTCCTCCATCTGTTCCTTTTCCTTCATCTGAAATTCTTATTATTTGCATATAAAACCTTCTGTATTTTTCCTTCAGACTGTTAACTTTACTCCCATGATTTTTTTATATTCTTGTATTTTTTCTCTGTGTTTTGTGATATTCCTGTCCATTGATTTTTGCCAATTCTTAAAAGTTGTCATCTTCTCTTTCATTTCCTCTACCAATTTAAAAAAAATTAGATTTTTTTAAGATCTAGAGAATATCCTTACATAATCTTATTGCCTTTTATTCATTTCAAGTTATCACCAGACTTCTCTATGTGAACTATTTAAAATAAAAGCCTTCAGTTCTGGGTCTTCTTGGAACTTTATCCACAGTTTTCTGGGTTCCGTGGCCTTTTTGTAGACACCAGTTCAGGGTTTTAGGGTCCTGTATATGCTAGACAAGCAGGGGAGGGTAAAAACTCAATAGAATTTTGTTCCTCTGGGACACAGGTGAATAGACAGGGGACTTAAAATCTTATGATCACGATCTGCACAAAGGTACTTCTCTGATGCTCCCTGATCTTCTGGGGTGCAGCGCAAGCCTTAATATTTGTTTAGCATCAAAGACAGTTAACAGTATAGCCCCAGCTGCAGCTCTCCTACAGGTTCTCAGATCCCACATAACCATGAGCTCCCTAAATTAACTCAAGATCTTTGAGGCAAAAGTTATCTTTGGGTGCCACACGGTCTAAATAATCACTTCAGGCCCCTTGTTTCTGGACTGCCATCAAGCGCAGAGGTGAGCAAACATCCCGTGTTTCTTCTTTGGTTACTGTCTTAAAACAGACACAGAGAAAGGATGATGGGGGCATTAAAGTTTAAGTTCAAGACATGTTGTCTTTTGGAATCTTCAACTTTTTCTGTAAGATTATAATCGGGTATTCATAAGAGATAATACCATTTCTGGGATTTCCTATGTAACAAGCAGTATCTACTTTAAAATAATCACATGAATCCCTCTAGATATATAGCAAGTGTCCTGTTTTAAGTGAGGAAACTGAGACTTAGATACATAAGCAGCCTGCCCACTGTTGCATTAGGAAATGTCTAAGATTTTGATTCCAATTTGGCAAGACTCTAAGGTTTGTTTGTATCTTCTAGTATATAACTCTCTTACTTTTCAACTTACCCTGAGCCTTATTGCAGAGAAATTATGAAAGTTGTTATAATATTCCCTCTTTTCCTTCCAGCACAAATGTGAAAATATTATTTTGGAATAATATTTCCTATAAAGTTGAATTGCTGTGTTTGATAGTTTGAATCTCAGCTGAACTGCCCAGGGAAAAAATGCTTAAATATTCCTGAACAAAAAAACTATCTTAGCCTTGAAACTACCACACGGGATTCATGAAAACATATTTTCCTATTTGGTTTAGAATGGATTTAGGCAAAGATAATCCATTTAAGAGAAGCTCTGAGGGCTTGAGGGGAGCAAGTGGTAATTGTTGGGTTTATGAAATTCAACAGCTGTTTTGGAATGGATAAAGGCAGTTAAAGGCTTATTCATGGTAAACAGTAGTCCCAATTCTGAACTTGTTTTTAAAATAATTGCTTCTAAGACAAATGGTTAAGCAACAGTATTAGAGAATTTTTTCTAGAGGCTGTGGAGGGTTGAAAGGAGAAAAATGGCAGGGTCTTCTCCTAATCTGGCAATGCAAGGTAAGTTGCTAATCATAACATCATAACATCAGCTATCTCATTTATATTGTTGCAGACCCCTTGCCTACATGCTTTAGGCATGTTATCATTAAATTAGAAATATCTTTCTCCTATTTTCTGTGTGTAGAAACTAAAGATCAGAGAAGTTAAGTAGCTTGCCCAAGGACACATTAGTATAGTGCATATCCATTACTGAAACATCTTGAGTCAAAAACTCATGCTGTTAATTAATCCTTCTTGGATCTATTTAGTTAGCTTTGGAGAGTTCATTTCATAAAGTGGAAGGTGGAAAATAACCCAAAATGTAGCAAATATCTGTTTGATGTTTATTTATTAATGTATTCAACAAACATTTTCTTACTATCGATTGAAGTAATGTGCCAGCTCCCAAAGGTCATAGGCCTAAGGACGATTTTTGTGACTTTTTATTTTTAAACACTGTACTTGTTTTCTTTCCTTTTCCCTTTCCCTCTTTTTTAAAAGTCTTTTATAATGTGAATATAGAATTTGAAAGTAAATTAGATGTATATGCAGGATTCTACTTGCTACTTTCAGAAAGTAAGAGTGTCTGGAGAGCTCCAAATTTTCATATGCATCAGGTAAAAGCAATTCTTTTGCAGCTCTTCCTGAATATTTTAGAAAAAGTAAAATTAATGACTTAGGAATTAATTTTCTCTGTTTGCTCTTAGAGTTTACTCAAACATTGATTTTTTTTTCAGTTGCCATCACCACATTCCTTTTACTCTTTTGACGTTTAAACTCGAAATGTGTAACTGTGTTACTTGCGAGTATTTGCAAGAAATACATTCAAATAAACAGATGTATTTTATGTTTTATTCTGCTCTTCAACTGAAACCATAAATCTAACAAAGATATCAGGAGACTGATTGGTCATACCATTAATGGAAAATTAATCTTCGAGAAATCTTTTCTGACAGCGGTTAGTGAATAGAGTAAACATTTCAGATAACACATAGACGCTGAAAAATATTTTACTTTTATTGTTTTTAATGTTATAATAAATTATAAATTTGTTATAATTAGCAATTATGCCTACTCTTTCAACTCCATATCCCCATGATATTGTTATTGTTATTATTATTGCCATTATTATTTATTTTTTTGAGATGGAGTCTCCCTCTGTCACCCAGGCTGGATTGCAGTGGCGTGATCTTGGCTCACTGCAACCTCCACCTCCTGGGTTCAGACGATTCTGCTGCCTCAGCCTCCAGAGTAGCTGGGACCACAGGTGTGTGACACCACACCCAGCTAATTTTTTGTATTTTTAGTAGAGACAGGGTTTCACCATGTTAGCTAGGATGGTCTCGATCTCCTAACCTCATGATCTGCCCCCCTCAGCCCCCCAAAGTGCTGGGATTACAGGCGTGAGCCACCACGCCCAGCCCCCATGATATTACTTTTGACTGATCTTATTAATATTAAAGAAAAAATGAATCAACATTAAATTTGCTGATAGAAAGTAGTGTTGATTCTAAAAATATTATTCATTAGTATATATCAATGCTTGACTAATATTGGCTTTCCCTAAATATTAACATGTGTTAAATCTAAAAATATTTTTGAAATTGAATATATAAATTGTGCCATTGCTTATATCTGCTTTCTCCATAGTAGTATAGGGATAAGAATAATATTTAAATTATAAGAGGTATTAAGACACAATTAATAGCCCTGGCTTTATGCTTGCTACAGAATTGATGCTCTATTAATAAGAGTGGTGGTGGTGTTTTTTATTTACCTTCTATCTTATTGGGAAAATAGTATCAATCTGGAAGAAACCTGTGTATGATTCTATGTATCTATATGCATCCATTACCTATACCTTCATCCTTTGATTTTCTCCTATTTCTATGAATGAACTTTTCCTCTCCCTGCAAGGTAATAATGCCTCCTTTTGCTCAGTAAGTCCTATTCATCTCATTTCCTTAGTGACACCTCCCCAGCAGTTATTCATTCCCTCTTGGGGATCATTTCTTTTTAGCTTACCACCGGAATAACTCTTAACAGCATAGAATCATATGGTGGTTAATTCTAGCCACCACCTTATTTCTCTGCTCTCTTGTACAGAAAAAACTTTTCAAAAGAGCTGTCCATATTTCCTCTCCACATTCCCTGTCCTCCAAGTCTTACTTGAACCCACCACTCTCTGGTTTCTAACTCCCAATTTCACTGAGACTGCTCTTTTCAAGTTCACCCATCACCATGACTTAGCTAAAACTAAGGTTAAATCTTAAATCCTTGACAACACTGAGATTCATCAACAGCATTTGACACAGTTGATCATTCTTTCCTGCTTGAAACATTTGTTTTTTCAGACCGTCTGGTTTCCCTTTATCTTCTGTTTGTTCCTTCTTAGTCTCTTTTACTGTTTTTTCTTCCACAGTATCCTAATGATTGAATTTTCTGGGAGCTCAGTTCTTAAAACTCTTGTTACTTTGTCTCTCTCAATCTCTCTCTCTATAAGTGATCTCCCCAAGTCTAAAAAAAAAAAGAAAGAAATTTATCTCTATGCTGATGCATATGAATCCTCTTCCCCAAAACCTAGATTCTTATATTCAACTTTAATTGACATCTCCTCCCAGTTACCTTATAGCTACCATTTCAAACTTAACATGTCCCAAAACGAAATCATGGTAATTTCTAAACCAACTCCTCCAAAAGTCTTCCCCATCTCATGATATGGCAACTTGATTCTTCGATTTGTATGGGCCAAAAACTTTCAAGTCAAGTTTAATGCTTTCCCTTTTCTCATTCTTTACATTCGATTCCTTAGGAAATTCTGTTTCTATGCCTTGAAAATATATCTAGAATTTAATACTTCTTTTCCCAAGTCCAAGCCCATATCATTTCACCAGTACTTGTTCAGATGTAGCTTTCTAATGGGCCTCCTGCCTTCACCTTTGTCCTCTTAATCTATTCTTAAACAAACACATCCTTCACCTGAAAATACAAGAATGGCTTCCTATTATTTTCAAAGTAAAAGCCAAAGTCCTTCCACAGATCTACACAACCTACTGAAGTTTGTCTCTGACTTCACTTGTATCAGTTTGTCCCTTTGTTAATTCTGTTTCTGACACACTGGACTTCTTACTATGTAATTCATGAGTTAAGCATTTTTTTTTCATTACACTTGCTGTTCCCTTTGCTAGAGTTACTCTTTTCCCAGGTATCTATATGTTTTACACACTCACTTCCTTCAGCCTTTTCCTTATATGTCACTCTGCAATGAGGAGATTAAAAATAGTAAATCTTCACTCCCTGTACATCTAGCCATTTTTATTCAACTTCTTTGCTTTATTATTATCCAAATGACTTACATACCACATATTTTACTTGTTGATATGTCTTTGTCTGACTTCTCTACCAGAATAAAACCTCTCTGAGGGCAGGGACTTCTATATTTTTTGATCTTTGCTTAATTCTCAAGTGCCTAAATCAGTGCCTAACATGGGAGATACTAAAAAAATTTGTTGAATAAATGGACTGATATAATTGCCACTAATATTAAGAAAATGTTTTTATTACTTAAAAGGAAGTGCTGCCCCAGTGGTAATATTCCTGAGTCTGGAGCCATACTGCCTGGGTTTGAATCCTGACTCTATCATTTACTTAATTGTGTAACTTTGGGCAAGTTACTTAACTTCTCTGTATGTCAGTTTCCATATGCGTATCTACTATATATACAAAGATGTTGGAAAGGTAAATAAATTGATATTTGAAAACTATTTAGAACAGGTCCTGGAATGTATAAATTCTAGGTAAAAGTTTATTATTATGATGGTTAAATTTGTGTATGAACTAGTAATATTTTAAAACCATGCTCAGAATTAAAGTATATTGGCGGCTACTGAACTCATTTGAATATACTCATTAATATTGTTTCTCTTGGGTACTGTTTTGGGAGGAAATGTGCTGTACTGATCTTTATACAATAGCCCTCCCTTTTCCATGGCTTCACTTTCGGTGGTTACAGTTACACCCAGTTAGTGGTTTGTGGCCTGAAAATATTAAATTGAAAATTCCAGAAATAAACAATTCATAAGTTTTAAATTGTGTACCGTTCTGAGTGACATGATGAAATCTTGCTCCATCCTGCTCCATTCTACTTGGGACGTGAACCTTCCCCTTGTCCAGAGTATTCATGATGTAGATGCCACCCGTGCTTTTGATCATTGACATTGTCTGCTCCTGACATTGTCATGGCTCGATGATCCGGGATCATGCAAAGCAGTTGATCCTCCTTCTGACGCATCATCAGAAGATGAATAGTAGCCTAACACTCACACCACAATACCTATGCCACTCACCTCACTTCACCTCATCATGTCTCCTGACATTGTCATGGCTCGATGATCCAGGATCATGCAAAGCAGATGATCCTCCTTCTGACGCATCATCAGAAGATGAATAGTAGCCTAACACTCACACCACAATACCTACGTCACTCACCTCACTTCACCTCTTCATGTAGGCATTTATCATCTTACATCACTGCAAGAAGGAAGGCAAGTACAGTACCATAGATATTTTGAGAGAGACCATTTCACATAGCTTTTATTACAGCACATTGTTGTAATTGTTCTGTTTTGTTATTATTGTTGTTAATCTCTTACTGTGTCTAACTTAGCATTAAACTTCATCATAGTTGTGTATAGAAAAAAGTGTATATAGGGTTAGGTACTATTTGCAGTTTCAGGCATCCATTTGGAGTCTTGGAACATATCCCCCAAAGATAAGGGGGAACTACTGTATATGAGTATAACCTTGTATAATGAGCATGGGTTTTTGCACTCAGATTTGTAGCCCCAGGTCTCCTACTTGCTGGCTTTAAGTTACTAATGTGAAACTTTATTCACCTCATCTTTGCTAGCAAATAAGCAAATGAGGTAAAAGATATAGGCATCCAGCAAATTGGTTGATATTAAGTGACAATATAAAAGTACCCCTGGCAGTGAAGAATAAGAATCAATTATCAGGGCATCTAAGTATTGCCCTTGCTTCTGTATCTTATACAAAGTTACTGGTGAACTATTATGAATGGCTGATTTTTCAGGCTTCAAGAAACGGATGACACATCATAGGTTCTCCTTAACAATTCTACTTAACAAATAGGGGGGTAAACCCCCTAAAGAATTGGGAACCATAATAGTGGATATGTGGAACCCACGCATATAGTCTGAATCATGGTTGGAAATTTCCAATTCCATTCATCAGCTTGTTTGTTTTGCATGTTATATTTAACTCTTTTAATTATCTTTAGTTGGAGATCTATGATTTGTCCTTGGAGACTATTTTGCAAGCAATTCGGCACCTTCTTAGAGAAAACTGGAAATTGTCTTCATCATTCCAAATATCTACTCTTAACATCTTCTGTTTGTCATGCTTGCACCCATTTGAGACACCCCAGGTCCTTTCTCCTACTGTGAAAACCTGCTCTGAGGAAAGTATTAGTTACAGTTTTATATATTATATGAGAAATTCAAAGAAAACACTCCATTCCATGCAATGCTATATAAAACAAATTATCTTATTGTAAGATTGAAGGCATGGTTTCCCTGTTAAAAGCTCTATTATTAATAAACGTGTGGGTGGGGGGGAGATGTATTCTATGGGCAGTGGCACTCTCTAAAGCCCACTCAAAGCTCACTATGTTTGTAGGAACGTACTTTTTTCTATACTGTCCTTGATTAGCTCCATTAAGGCACAACTGTTTGATAATAAAAAACATAAATGATTAGGAATTACGTATGCATATATTAATTAGAAATATGTGTGTGTTTACATAGATAAATGTATAATTAAGAATGTTGCTTGCCTTTGGCCATTGGCAATAAATATTATGAAAGGAGTTCTTAAAAAATACATACCCTAAATAAATATGCAGATAACATTTGCACTGCTGTAGCTTTTTATTGAGGGTCATCTTGGCCACTGGCTTGGTTTCTTCCTGGATAATAATGCTACTGAGCCTCTCCAAAAATAGAGGTATGTAACCAGTGTAGATGTCACCTTAGTCATCTCATTTGCATCTAATGATTATATTTGAAATGCTATACTAAGTGATGGAATTTTCCTTTGGAAAAAAAAAGAGTCAGATTTACTCAACATGATTCTCTCTTTTTGTCCTTACGTAGTGTGCAAAATGGCTCATTTTCCTTCTCTCCTGATTCTTATGCATACATAGAAATATGTCTGTTTAAACAAGCTTCCACTACTGGCTTGTTTCAGGGAAACTACCTAAGTCCTTCTTCCCTACTGGCTGAAAAGGAAAATCCAGTTTGTTGCCTAAGAGTTTCATACACTCTCCACTGATGAAATAATCCTGTGTCAAAGCATAGCATCAGAGCAATGCATGCAAAGAAATTATTCTTGACATATCCCTTGGGCCGTTGACTTTCTTGTGTTAGGCAGTCCGCCGAGACATACTATTATTATTTCCCATTTGATTATGTATGTGCATATGCTGTCAGTTTGCATTGCTAGGATAAGCAGTTTGAACTTGATGATTTGGTGATCTAAATGTAGTCTTTTCCTCTTAAATGAAATCTCATTTTCTAGCAATTTCAAGGCTTGCTAAATTTAGCCACAGAGGAATGTATATATGCAATTTTTGTTTTCCTTTTCTGTTCTTAATCTCATCCTTTTTCACTGGTGCTGAGAATAAGGAAGAACCCTATAGTATTACTAGTCTTACACCCAAAGCTTTGAAAAATCTATATTAAAGTGGACAATATAGAACTCTCATTCTTGGTCTTTTTTATTTCCTAAGGCAGAAGTATATTTACACTCGTTAGCTCTTAGAAAGAAAAAGTGATCTGAGGGACCAGCCAAGTTTTCTCTTTTTAAGAGATGTTCTTTTTGTGGAAATCAAGGTTTCTTTATGCTCTTGCACTGAATCAACTAAATCTTTTTTTTGTTGCCATGTTAAATTCAGAGCTGTACCCTCAAAGTGTGTAACAGACCAAACAGCCAACTCTGAAACAAGATGTGGCTTCTTAGTAAATCACATCAAAACTGCTTTTAGGTATTCCCAGAATAGTTCCAACCCATGAAATTGCCCTAGAATGAATTAGCACATCTCTGAACACCATGTAACCTGAAATTTAACCATTCTCATCAGTGTGAAAAGAAGTTTAATGGTCATATTTTTTATCAAGCAAACTGCCTGCTTTTAGTGTGCTGGATTGGTTTTTTGAATGGATATATGGAACCTGGGTTATAAATCTCCTTAGTTAAAAAGCTTGTCTCATCAATTTTGTATAATAAATATAAGGTTTGAAATCCCAAGACGGGAGGCCTAAATGTGTGTGAAAAAGTCTCATGTCCAAAATGGCAAGTGAGTCTGCAATTAAAGTATCAAGTCACAGTTGAAACTTACTAATTTAAATTTATCAATACCCTTGTAACAGATATGAGGACATGTCTCACCTTTCAAATGTAATTTCTTTCACTGAAAGAAAATTAATGTACATAATTCAGTGTTACAATGCACTAATAAATCAGAATGTGAAGATATCTCTCAATAAGCTTCACTTTGGAGGCTAATTTCCTTGTCCAATACAATAGAAATTAGTTTATTATATACGTAGGCAAATCTAGCTAAATCTGTAGAAATATAACTACTGTTGTCTAGAAAATTCAAGAAACATCATAAATCATAACATATTGACAATATACAGGATGAGTTTACTCTTCCTTAACCTATTAACTAGTAAGTTCTCACTAATAAGTTACATTGATGAATAGATGAATACATGAAGTTAAAAACAATTTTTAGAATATATGATAGTAACCTTGTGAACCTTTTAGAATATATGATAGTAATGTAAATAAAGCATTTGAAAAGTTAAAGGTTTATAAAATTTTAAGATCTTCTTAATGATATAATTTAAATTCAATGTCATAAGTGGCTTGGAAAATTACATTTTCTTCCTTTTCATTTGTCATCCAATAAAATCAGATATTTTAACATTTAAAGAGCCTTTAAAATTAAGTGCCATTGTGGTGAATTGATTTGGTCAGATTCACAGAGATAATAAGGAGTTAGGTCTCCTGACATCCATTTAGTATTATTTTCATATAATTTTCCCTGTGGCCAGACCCAAGGTTAGAAAATCTATAAATAAGGGAAGAATGAGGGATGGATGCAAAGTCTGAGGCATTCAACATTTTAGGACAAAATACACAATAAGAAGAACCCCATTTTCTCTGAGATATGAAAAAGACTATAGAACTCGCCTACTATTTAATGTATTTTTAGAAAGGGAAACATTTTTATTAAACTAAATCTTATGATGAACCCCAATAGTAAGAAAGATACGTACAGAGCTATTCTGGTAGAAAGAGGAGTAAAAGCCCCACTCAGGAGAACTGTATTTCTTCCTCCTTAGCCTTCTCTAAAACATTTTCATATAGCCCAGAGGTTCTGAAAAAACAATGTAAAAATCTTTGATTTAGTCTAATCAAGTGTTTGATTTTTACGTGCAAAAATGAAGGCCTGTCTAGTTTTCCAAGTCATACCACCATTTTGTATCTGAGAAAGCTCATCTTACTCTAATCCATTGCTTCACTTTTCCATAGCTCACAGTTATTTGGTTCACTCTGACAAATAGTATAGGTCATAGAAATGTGGCTTTCTTTTTTGGAATATATTTTGTTTGTTTATTAATGTGCAGTTATTCAATAGAGACTTGAGGTTAAAATGAGGATAATAGAAATCTTGTATTTGAGCAAAAGCTGAGTTTATTTCCCTCAAATGATTGATCATTCAATAGCTATGTAATAAAACCATAAGATTGAATCAGTATTGAATTCTTGTAAACACCATATGTTTGCATAAAATTATCTAAATAATGTCTCCTTTGTAATCTTCAAGCTCATAGTCAGAAGTTTTCTGTATGACCTTCAAGCAAAGACATGTCTACCATTTTTAGCACCAAAGGAAATAGCAAAAGTACAGAATTCCACTCTCACAGGGCTGTGGTCAAGAATGACTGATACACAGCTGGGCAAGCAGCTGGGCCTTTCATAGACAGAACAAAAAGTGTGTGGAACTGAGCTTTATTTGAATGTGAACTAAATTCAACTCCAAAACCCTTGAATGCATTATACAGTTGAGGGTTTGTGCATGAAATATTCAAGTTTTTACTCTCATTTGAATCTTAGAAAGTAAATTTATCTGAGAACAAATGGCACCTTGCATTTGTGCCAGCCCTTTAGACGCTACTCATAATTTTTCAAATTATTGCATTTCAGTTTTCTGTTTACAATTGCATAAATAATAGTGACATTTTACATTTTGTAGCAACACTCCTTTTAAGATGTGTGTTTTTAGATAAGATTATTAATTTATAAACCATCATTAAAGAAAATAGAAGATATTTTTGCTCACTTGCCACATGCAGTGAAAAAGAGTCCTTGGGCAAGGTCAAACAATGAATCAGCAGGGCATGGAGAACAGAACCTTCCAAGTTCTCTGAGGGCAAAGCCTCACACTGCATGTCAGCAGGTCTCTCGTGGTAGGGGTGTGATGTTCCTGAGTCCTTTTCAGATAACACTTCACTTGTGATTTTGTATAGCTTCTGAGTTCTTCCAGTGTGATTGCTGAGATATCATTCCTTTATTTATTTATTTATTTATTTATTTATTTAAGACAGAGTCTCACTCTGTCACCAGGCTGGAGTGCAGTGGCATGATCTCAGCTCACTGCAGCCTCTGCCTCCTGAGTTCAAGCCATTCTCCTGCCTCAGCCTCCCAAGCAGCTGGGATTACAGGTGTCCACCACCATGCCTGGCTAATTTCTGTAATTTTAGTAGAAATGGGGTTTCACCATGTTGGCCAGGCTGGTCTCAAACTCCTGACCTAAGGTGATCCACCAGCCTTGGCCTCCCAATTTGCTGGGATTACAGGAGTGAGACACAGTGCCTGGCTAGAAATAATTCCTTTTACCAGACCAACGCAATTTAAGAATTCCACGGAGAAAAGGGATTTACAGTAGGTTTAGAATGTTTGAAAGGCTTTTCTGCAGTCTTCTATGGAAACAAAACCTAAATCAACCAACCAGAGTAATGTGAAATAAATATTTTACAAATAGCAACAGATAGCACAGTAATATAAGTGCCTAATAAGACATGTGAGTACTTAAGGGCTGTTCATGCTTCTTGTTAGGAAAAGCAAAAGCAAACTTCTCTTCTATTAAATGTTGATAATGTGTTTTAACATAAAATATTCACAGGATAATCATGTTCTTAAGTTATTCTTATCTAGCCGAGAACAGCATCTACTTAGGAAGAGATTCAGATTGGAGACTTATTGCTATAAATTCACCTTTTTTTAATGTTTGAAAATGAGCCAGTCATATTAATTATACATGTTTATAATAATGTAAATAATAAGCTTTATTACAGAGTTCTCATAGAGAGAAGGGAGTGAATTTGTACTAATATTTCAGTTTGACCAAACTCATAACTTGCTACTGTTCTTATTTTCCTAACAATAGAAGGACATTGGGTTTTTAAATATTTCACATTGAGAAAAACAAACATAGGGATGTATTTACGAACACTGTCTCTATTTCATAAATGATGAAACTTTGGTTTTGAGATGTTAATTTTTTTTCCCAAAGTCAAAAAGCTGATAAGCAGAAAAGCTTAAATTAAAATGCTAGTCTATCTGTCTTCAAAGTCCTTGCTCTTAAAAATCATGGTATATGTCTTCTAATACATTTTTATAAGGTAGGATCACTTCACTAGTATACTTTTGTCTTCTCATTCCTTTTTTGTAATGGGCCTTTTAGAAAATAGAAAAATAGAAAATTTATTTTTTGTAATGGGCCTTTATTTATTTACCAGTTTAGATTTACAGTAAAACTGAACAGAAAATACAGAATTATTATATATGCCTTTATGTTCCTCCTCCCATTTTCCTCTATTATCAGCATATAGCATTAGTGTGGTACATTTGTTACAATTAATGGCCCAATATACATACATTATTATGAACCAAAGTCCATAGTTTATATTGGGGTTCATTCTTGGTGCTGTACATTCTATGGGTTTTGATAAATGTATAATGACTGGTATTCACAATTACAGAATCATACAGAATAATTTTAATGCTGTAAAAATCCCCTGTGCTCCACCTATTTGTCACTCCCTTCCTTCTGCAAACCCCCAGCAACCACAGATCTTTTTACTGTGCCCAGTTTTGCCTGTTCCATGACTTCATATGGTTAGGGTCATACAGTATGTAGCCTTTTTGGATTGCCTTCTTTAACTTAGCAATATACATTTAAGGTCCTTTAATTTTTTTTGTGGTTTGTTGGCTCATTTCCTTGTTATCACTGTATAACATTCCACTGTGTCAGAGTACCACACTTTGTTTCCTATTCACTGATTGAAAGTCATCTTGTGGGCATCCAAGTTTTGGCAATTATCAATGGAGTTTCATAAACATTCATATGAAAGTTTTGTGTGGATATATCTCATTCCTTTTTAAAAATTGTGTTTCTATAAATTAAACTATTCCTCATGATTTTAAAGTAGAAATTTCTTAAGTGCTTAAAAGCAATAAGAATATTTATGGGCTAAACCTTATGACCTGCTTGATTACAAGCTATTCTGTCTTAATCTCTAAATTTCAGGGTTTGTTTCAACTGATTAAATATGAATAAGCTTATTTCCTAAGTGCTTGAAGGTAGTAGAATAGTGTAAGGGTGGGTATGTACTTTTTTGCAATTGTTTTTATTCCTCTGCTGTTTATTACCATGTCTTTGTCTTATAATTGCCTAATTACCTGCCTCTTACTGTCACTCAGTCTTTCTTCTGAGGAAATACAGTTTCTCTGTGATATAGGTCCTTTGAATAACAAGTTGTCCATATGATTTTTCCTATACTCAATGAAAATTATTTATTTAGAAATTTAGAGGTGTAAGGAAACTTCAACCATTTTTAGCAGAAGAGTATTTTTTAAAAATGTTATAAAAATCCTATTAAGAAGGAAGATAAATGCTATAGCAGAAGAAGGAGAATCTACTGGGATTCCTTTCTACTTTTCCCACTTCCACTAAAGCTGTTCCAAAATATTTTTTAAAAATCAAGAGTTTCTGGAACACAATGGAAGACATTCATCTAGTTCATTCGCCTGAGTTTTCATGTGAAAATTGAATCTCCTGTAGTTGTGGGGAGATTGAATTGGGTCTTTGTTTTTATGGAGAAATAAGATTGAGGTGAGCTGTTTGCAGTTGACTTGAAAGTGGCATAATGTAAGTGCCAACTGTGGTATTTGTCTGTTGTAATGTATGAAGAAAATTAAGAAATTTGATCAAGCTGTAAATGACCTGTGACAGGGAAAGAGTGGAAGCTGAATTTTGGAGGGTCACTAGTAGTTTTTCAATTTTACCAAAGCCATTCTAAATTACAAATGTAAGTAAATTGAATCTTTGGCCATAGCCATCTTACTTGAAATACATTCCTATGGTTGATAAAATTTGATATAAAGTACCTGTCCACATTATTCTCTAATGAAATTAGAATAAATTATTATAATTATGGTATGAAAGTCAAGATCAGGAAAATTTGAAAATTTATTTAGTAGATTTAGTAAACAAATATTTAAGAACATGATTAATAAAATTTATTCATTTACTCAACAAGTATTTTTAAGGTGATTGTTTTCCTGCGTATTAGGTGGCTTTAGATAAAAGGAAGAGCTGTTCACCCAATTTAACAAGAAGAGACCAGAGTTAATGTGGGTATAGGTGTAAATAAAGTTATTGGGTATAGTTGTAGGAGGAAGTGAAAATTTTCTTTTCTGTTTTTATTTTCTGTAGTAAAATAACATGTATACCCAAATCATTAAACTGAGAACAAGAAGGAGAGGGAACACTGGAGGAATGAAGGAAAACAAGATGTGAAATAATCACTAGGAAGGTTGGAGGAGCGTAAGAATGACTTGACTAGAAACAGGGAAGGCAACATAATTTGCAGGGCCGGGGAAAAATGCAAAATGTGGGGCTTCTATTAAAAATTAAGAATTTCAAGACAGCAACAGTGGGAGATTAAACCAAATATGGGACAATTCTGTGTGTGGGCCCTGTGCAACTAAACCCATGAATTTGATCTAACTAAGAGAATATAATAGAGTTGCTTGCCAGTACTGAGGAACCACTTGAAGATAAAGATCATAGATTGCAGATGAAAGCAGTAGCATGGTGGTGTAATTTTATGTACTAATAATCAGCTGTAAACCATTCTCCATTCTTCTTCATTCTTACAGTTTCTCTGTTATCAGTAAAACAGAAAAGGAGTAAGCACAGTCTTCATCCTTCAGTATTTCAATGAGCTGACAATGTGTGGTCCTTTCTATGTGAAGAACAATGCCTTCAAGCCTTATTCATATCAAAGGGACATTAGAAGTTGTTAATTTATTATTTTACCTGTTGTTACTTTAAAAAGATCTAGGTGTTCTTAGACTTCCATGGTCTATTTCTAAGCAGTAGCTAATGTGTTTTCTACCTTATTGTGACATCATTTTCTGTAATATCTTTGCAGGAGGGATTTGAGTTTGAGAGAGGCAGTAAGTTTTTGTCACTGCCAATTTCTGTTGATAGAGCTTTCATTTGATTATTGTTCCCAAATCAGGACTGTCATGAGGACAGATGTAGCTAATTAATCCTTATCAGCTCTGATTCAATTAAAAAATTCCTGAAAACTTCTCAGTGTCTGCTGAATTCTTCTTATGGAAAGTTGCTGTTAGAAAGGTCAAAATTCTTGTTAAATAGGATCAAGGACCTTACAAGTCAAGCATTTCACTGGGTGGCAGAGGGGCTATATTTAAAAATTAATTTAAAGGAAAATGCAAAATATTACTGAATATAAATTTGATGGAGTGGAGGAGAATTAGAATTTTGCTTTTCAGGCTCAGCTTTTAAGCTAAGAGAGCATGAGAATGGATGTACTTGTGTATAAGCATACAAGAACAGAATGATTTTGCTATATCACTCTATCACCTTTCATATATCAGTCTGTTACTCTGTTCAGTTTGAGAATAATAACTCATTCCACTATGTGTTATCTTGGTAAAGGAATATTTTATGGAGGTCCATTTCTAAAATATTAGCTGATGAAATACTTGATGTTAGTGTATGGGCAGCAGGTGACTTTTTATTTTTAATATATCATTTGTATATGTTTAAATTTTCTGTTATTGGACAATCAAAAGGCAACTTTAAAAGAGAATCATATTTAACTTTACTCTTAACAAGCAGAAAGTTGTACGTGCCAAAATGGTGAACCAGTATCTAAATGTGCAGGTCTAATACTCTGAATCTCAACCCAAAGGGGAAGCAAGAATTTGCCTTTTAGTTAAGTGGAAAGTTAGCAACAATTTAAAAAGAAAAGGGATTAGTAAAGTACTGTTCCGAGCCTATGCATTATTATTAGGTTGGTGCAAAAGTAATTGCTGTTTTTGCCGTTACTTTTTCACCAACCTAAATATAAATCAAAATGTATTAAATTCAGCTCTGTAAGTGGGACCTTCTAGTGAAACAGTCTCACGTTACCTCAGTTTTCTTGCTGGTCAGTAGACCTATGTTTCTTAATTGAAAATAATAAAGATTTTAGTCCTAATATTTTTGAAAACCTTGAATCTTCTGTGGGTGAACATGAGTTTTAGCTGCCATTGGCCATTTAAATTGAAGCAAAATTAGTGAAATAAGCACAATGTCACATTATGTTAAGATCAGCATATCTAAATGAAGGCCCAACTGTAAATTAAGCATCTTTGACCACTTCATAAATCCTTTAAATTTAAGGGTACTTCAATTTTAATATGTTGTGATTAATACCGCTAGACAAAATTAATGCTTCATTTATGAATAAGCTGTAATGGAGCTTCGGGTCTTTTAATATCCCATTGATGCATGGGTGGTCAATTAGTGGTGAATATTTCTTATTTTCAACAAGGAGGGATGTTGCATCTCAGGGAATCAGGTTTGCAGGACCTCTAGCTTCTTACAGAGATTGCCTTTCCATAGCCACATGAGGGTAGGAACACGTTTTGACAAATCTTTTCTTTTTGTGGAATTAAACTGATCTTGTAACATATGCGAAGTTGACATTACTAAGACCATTGACATTGTGATAAAGGAGAACAGATTCTAAAAGATGTTCCTAAATTTAATCTACTTTATGAATTGTTGCCATTCTATTTGAATATGTACATTTATTTTTATGTTTATGGTTGCCAGAATATTTTGATTCTATGAATCATGAATTGATTAAAAAATTTCAATAGCTGCACTGGTTTCTTTCCACTCTCCACCCTCATTTCCTTGGAAGGTTTTAGATATAGAAGAAACAGATAGCTACTCGAACGATTAAAAAAAAAAAAAGCCTAAAGGTCAAATCACAATCACACACTAGATTTATTGCATTTTAATGTCATAGTCATCCCTGTGATAAAGATTAGTGATGAACAGATTGAAAAATAGATGCAAGAATGACTTCTACTGCAATATAATAAGCTTATCCACATATTAGGCTTAATTTTCAGCAAAGCTATTAACTTGTTCTTTTTATTAAAAGAATATTATATTTTGGACTGAAATGTAATACTTCATATGTGTGTTATTCTTGTATTAGGGATTTTGGCAGAAATATGAAGAGGTTGGGAAAAGAGAAGATTGACAATTATTCATTTATTTTTTAACTATAAAATTTTAATGTTTTTGTGTTGTTTAGAGTTTTGTACAATTGAGTATCATAATTATCATTTACCCAGGGGAGAATCTCATTCTTCAGGAATAGATGTCTTTGTCTAATTTGCCTTGAAGATATTTATATAAGTTGTCATCAGTGAATTTTAATGAAAACTTGAGTAAAATATGCTTGAATATATTTGCAAGGCAATGAAAAATAAGCTTTTTATTCCCCCAGAGAGTGTTACACTGATTAAGCTATTTTTACAAATAATTTTATGTTAGCCATATAAGCATTAGTCTATTTTGCTATTTAATTATCAAAACTTTGTCAAGAAAATTTGAAAATCAGATCCATTATCCTAAAGAGAAATTATACAGGCTGATATTCTCTACTTCTAAAGCAAGGATTTTAATTTTTCTGCATGATTTTGAGGAGAGAAATAGAGAAATTCTATGTGGCCTTTCACGTGGCTTTGACTTTGCCATTCAGTTGCTTTTACTTTGTTCTTAAGTGCAGTGTTCTTAAATTTTTAGTCACTAGGAGTTATATAGGGGATGAAAATAAAATGCAGATGAGGTTTCACAACCAAAAGTCAGATTCTTCCAGAAATCTGCATTTCAATCAAGCATCTCAGGTGGATCTGATGCTGTTGGCCCAGAAAGTACATTTTGAGAAACATGGTTATAATAGAATGATCCTGATATTTAAGGGAAATCAGAATATAGAAATGAAACATGTATATTTTTTATCTTCAATCAACTAATTACCATAATTGAGTACTTCATTATTTACCATAAATTAGAAAATAGTTTAGATCTTATAAGTTCCAACTTACATCCAAAATGTATAGTATTTCCATATATTATATCTTAAAGCATACACTTTTATCTTTGCCTGCAATCCTTATAGTATTCTATTGTCTACATAGATTTTTTTTTAACATAGCACTGTATAGGTGCCTACTCATTTGTAGGTTATTTTTGAGAACTATAAATATTTTTCCCATCAATGAGATAAAATTCCCCACATATTCTAACAACTTCTAAACTGATTTTTTAAAAAATAAACTAAACAAAAACCTATTTTGCATCGCAGAGAGTAAAGACTTTCTAATTAGAGCAACACAATACCCAACTTTCCCGCTAGGTTTCGTGAGGATAAAAGTACTATTGTTTTTTCCAAGCTCCCCAGTGGACAAACCACTTTTCAAGCATTATTTTATTGCTTCTCAAAACAGAACTATGTACGAAGAAAGCTGAAATTCAAGATTGACTTGCCAGTACAGGCTCATACAGATGTTATGATCATTCAGCAAATTCTTTGCTTTTGCTAATAACAAGTTGCCTTCATGAGGCCAAAAGGCAGCTACTTCAATGACATATTGGTCCTACCACTGTTGCCACACAAAGAGCTGAAAAGAAAAAGTTGAAGAATAAAAAAAATTCAAATGAAGGATAATAAAAATTGAGATGAGCATTATAGTAATAATAATTCAATAATTTCTGTTTAGTGGAAATAGAATAACATCAATAACTGAGTAGCTTTGGTATTGTAATATGTCTGGAAAATAAGGCATGCAGACTACAAATGTGATCTTTGCATCAGGAGAAGCACAATGAAAATCTATGCACTAAAATCAGAAATCATATTAAAACAACTTAAGATTATGTACAGCATTGAGATGCAACAGCCACTCAGTAGCTTTTAGAGGTAATGAGAAGGTAATTAAAATCCTAAGGCTACTTCTTAATTGATGTGATTGGTCATGGCAAGTGAATGGTGCATTGGCTGACCCATTTTTCTTCACCAGTGAAATAAAACATAAGGGTCTTTATTAATTTGTCTATTCAGGCATCTTTGAGAATGCAGTTAGACACTTGGAGGCTAGAGTCAAATGATGATGATGATGATGGTAATGAGGATGATGATAATGATGATATTAACAACAATTTGCTACATGCTTTAATTATAATTTCTAAACTATTCCTGACATCAAATATTCTTTCCTTCACTCTATATATCGAGGAAGTGAGGGTCACAAAGACATGGATTTATATTCAGGTATTTGGAAAAGGCTTCTAACAATTGGTTCATTGAGATTTCTTAAAAATTACAACTGTAGTTACCTAGGCTTGTAAGGGGTCACTGGTGGCAGGGGTAAAGGATCCTGAAATTCCTTAATGCTGTGCTAAGCAGTTTGAACTTCATTTTGTAGTTAGCTCTGTCTTCTAAGTTCTAAGAAGGCTGCTATAGCTTTTGTTTGGAAGATGGATTAAAGTGAGAAAAAGAAGTCAATAAGATAGTGGCAGTGAGG
Source organism: Homo sapiens (assembly GCF_000001405.40). Taxonomy (NCBI): domain Eukaryota; kingdom Metazoa; phylum Chordata; class Mammalia; order Primates; family Hominidae; genus Homo; species Homo sapiens. Next base: position 75,090,391 of record NC_000012.12, on the reverse strand, counting down.
GTGGAGAGGAAAAAAAATATCTGGTGTAAAAAAGGGCATAATGGCCTATTAAAAGCATGAAGAGAAGGAAGAGGAAAAAGTAAAAAAATATGATTTTGAAGATTTATTTTGAGATAGGTGGCTAAGAAGATAATAGATCTGTAAACATCGATAAGGGAAGCAAGAAAACAGAAGCTTTGGAGAATATGTGGAAGACATTTAGCATTTCTGAAAGTAATGTGTTTAGCGATATGTAGAAACTTACTGTAGAGATGCCATCTAGACTGTTGGAATGATAATTTGAACTTCTTATAAGGGAGCACCCCCAAATCAATTGGTTTGTTAATAAAAATGATATATTATTTTCAAAATTTCCTAATCCAGCTTATTGGAAAGTCTTAAACTGGACCATTATACTGTACATAGAGCAAATCAAAGCTGGAAATAGCTTCCACTAAAGCATAGTTCAAGGCTGTCCAGTAGAACTTTCTGGAATGATGGAAATGTTTTATATCTGCATTGCTTAATACGACGACTATTATCCATATGTGTTTGTTGAGCGCTTGAAATGTGACTCATGTAACCCAGAAACTGAATTCTAAATTTTATTGAATTTTAATTACTTTAAAGTTAAATAGTTTCTATAGCTAAGGGCTACAAAGATGGATAGGACAGGTCTAGATATTTTAATCTGAAACAACACATTATTAGCAGTTTGGAGACCATAATTCCATTTGCAATAATTCCATCAAAGTCCTCACTTGTAAAGAAAATGGAAAAAAATTGTGACTAAGTATAAAACTGTTAAAAGTTGCATGTTCTTTTAACTGCATATTTTTTCATTGATGTTAATGAAACATGTAGATAAAACAATATTCAATATTTTAAAATTTATAAATCATATGTTAAATATAGGTGGATTGTATTTTTATTTAACCGGTTTCACTGTAGACAAGATAATCTTTCAAAGAAGAGCCCAATTCAATTACTTGTGGAACAAGAATCTATTTTATAGTTATATTACACAGGCTTCTAAGAGAAGATATTAATTCAGGAGTATTACATAGTGAATATTGAGGATACAATGACACTTTCTTATTTAACATAAAAGTTTATGTATTAATTGACTGCAGATTAAATACATTACTTTAGCGCATTACAGTAGAATTATATAGGCACTTAATTTTTCATAGAATATTAACAGAGAAAATAAATCACCAGGCTGTACCTAATCTGTTTCCATTTTTTCTTTAGTAATTAACATACATATATGTATACATAAATTGAATTCTGATATATAAGCATAAAGATTTATTCTTAATTTGTGATGCTCTTTTGTTATGAACATTTGTAGTCAATCTTCCAAAATTAATTCATAGTATTTTGAGCTTAATATTTAAACCTGATATGCATTTTCTTGTTCACTTGATCTTTATATTATCATTGTTTTATGGGGCTGTGGAGGTTATCACCTAGCAACTGAAAGCAAGAACCTCTGTTTAAGATGCATTTGGATTTGTGATTCAGCACTGTTGTTTTATAGATTAGTTGTTTTATATATAGATCTGTTGTTTTATATATTAGATTATATATAAATCCACAGCATTTCTCATCAATTTATGTAAATTTTAATTGAATGATGAAATTACATTAATAACTAAAACTTGCAAAAACACCATTGGAAACTGATAAAGGGTATCACTTTTGTATGGTAAGGGTACAAATCTTCAGGCAGGGAAGAGGCAGGGAAGAGGCCTTCCAATGTACTTAAAGGGTGACCATATAATTTATCACCCAAGTTTAAATACTTGTGAAATTAAAGAGAGCATAACTATGACTGGCTAAGACAAACTAAGATCTATGGTTGCTCTATCTAGATGGTATCTGACTAGCTGTTGTGTTTGGATATTTTGGACGACAGTTCATATGTTTTACACAAAGAATAGAGGTTTTGATTAATCCAGGTAGTCAATTAATTGTAGGTTAAAATAACTTTCACTGTAACTTTATGTTTGTACAACATACTAATAGTTTGCATTTATTGAGCTTGCATTGTAGGAGAGACAAGTTAAATACTTACATGCATGGCCTCATTAAATTATCACATGTTTATGGAATAGATTATTTTTATTTCTATTTCACAGATGAAACTGAAACTTAGGAAGTAATCTTTGTAAAATGTGGTAAATCCTGTCTATTTTACTACATGCCAGACCCTGTGCTAAATACTTCTGTGCATTGCCTCATTTAATCCTTCTAATTACCCTAAAATAGATAGTTTTTTAAACCTCGACTTCACAGATGAGAGTAAATATGTTGCTGAATGTTATATAGCTAATGAGTTTCATAGACCAGCTCTAAAACAATATCTGTCAGACAAAAAGTCTATCCCTCAATTATTAGGCATTTTTTTTTTCCATAACTGATATCCATTGCCATGAAATGTATGATTCTGTCACTTGGGGGCAGTTAAGAGCTTGAGAAGAAAGGAAGGGTACAGTACTGGGGGCCAAAGGGTTTCATTTGAAACACATAAGCCTGTGTCATATCGAGATTCTTCTGCCTGAAGATGCTTTTTGGAAAGGTTCTTTGAATCAGTTTCCAGATCACTGGGGTGAGGAGGCAGCTTTCCTCCAGCCTGTGCTCATGTTCTCAGGCCTGGCCTCTCCAGCCTGTGCCTATGCTTTGCATTTTCAGGCTCTACAGTACTGTGTACTCACAGATAGGAATCTGTAAATTAACTAGCAGTGTAGGCCTGGAATTCTCCCAAATTTGGTTGAATGAGATTAATGTGGATGAGGGAATTAAGATCATGAGCATAAAAAATGGTAATTTTCTTGACTGATAAAGGTCACGACTCTCAAAATAGTGAAAACACTGAGAAAGATTAATCAGAAAATGTATCCTGTCTTTACAAGATTATTAGAGGTTTAAACATTGCTGAAATGGCCAAGCATAGGAATAATTGCTTATAAGATTGCTAAGAGCATCAACAGATATTTCTCTGCTTATCTAAAACGATAGCCAAAGCATGTATAAATCAAAGCCTCTAGAATGTTATCTTGACTAACTGGAAGAGGTAGCATGTACTAATGCTAAGGTGAGTGATTAGAGATAGGTATCCTCATCATAACTGCTTTCAATGAGTTCTGAGGCCCTAACAAATTCACATCATACCCCATATCCAATGCTACCTTTAATACAAGGAGGCAACTGTGAACCACATTTGGCTTATAGGAACAGTGTAAAGATAAAATGGTTTAATATTTTTGAAATTTCTATCTTTATGGAATTTCTCATATAGAGTTATCATTAATTGTTTATGTATCTTTCTTCTGAAGCTCTAAGTTCCATAAAGACAAGGACTAAGAAAGTATAATTCAATTTTGCATCCTCAGTACCTAACAGAGAACTTGGTACATAGAAAATATTTGATGATTTATTTTTTGTTGAATAACTACATGAATAAAATGAAGTGAGTCAAAAAGTGCTTTTGAATTTACAAACATTGTAAAAATATGTCATAGCTATTCAACTCCAGTTTCCTAGTTGAGTCAACTACCAAAGAAACCCTCTTAACTCAGAATGTAACATAGAAGATGTATACAATGCTGTCCTGCTTAATGTCAGAAATTTCAAATGTTCACTTTTCCTTCATTTTCTTGAACTATGTCTCTGTATTTATATATGACTTAAGATAAATATGTGTGTGTATATATATATATATATATTTTTTTTTTTTTTTTTTTTTTGCCAAATGAACTTGCTTTTTATGGGACTACATTCTACTGGCTTGAAGGTGAACTAAAAATATCTCTTATCCCTGAAGCCTGGTGCTGACTCATGGAGCGTGTCTACTACATGACCAAATGTAGGTTGAGAACAAATTAGAAACATCTGACTTATTCACATGCATTTTAGTATTTCAAGAGGAGACACACGAAGAAGGTAAAATATAGCAAGCAAATTAACATACAAAACTGCATTTTATTTTTTATCTTAGTTAAATTTGTCTGATAATTCTTTTGTTATGCATGTTCTTGCACCTTAGCCAAAACTGCACATTGGCAAATAACAGGGACTACAGATGGCTCAACAGCCAGGAACCATTTGTGGTTGAACAAATTTGGCACACTGTCTTGTCTTCTAATAACCAGACTTCTGACCTATTGACCCCTCCCTGATTCTTCCCTCCACAAACCAAGGAAAGCCCTTCCAAGTGGTTTTTAGAGCTAAGTAGTAGCTTCTTGAATTTTGGTATAGAGAAACTTTAGAGTCATCATTAGTGTTTCCTACATTTTAAATATTTCCTAGAATATGAATAGAGCATACTATAGTATGAGTGAAAACATATTTATCTAGAAAAGCTGAATTACATTAAAATTGTCAGTTTTAGAACTGACAAGGGCATAGGTCCGACTTTCACCTTCAGCAGAAAAAAAAGTGTACTGAGAAATATTTAAAGGGTGGGAAATCAGGTCTTTTGTATATTAACATAATGTATTTTCATCACTACCATTGCATTAATGACACAGCTCTAAAGTCATCTTTAATTACCTAATTTTCTTGTTCTTTATATTTTGAGAAATGAGTCGTTATTTGGAAGGTTACTAGGAAAGTAAACATAATCAGTTAAATGGTGTGTGTCTCTGGAAGTACTATTGTGAAAGAATGAAGTAAAGGCCTATAAGTAGAGGCCAACAACACCCTAGAGCATCTATTTTCCATTTGAGAAATAACTATTTAAATATATTCATTCATTGAAGATATGTGTGACCTAAGAGAATTAATGGAGCTTTCAAATATGTCAGCCCGCCTATAGCAGTTAAGAGCAAAGGCTCTGATGTTAGATTCATGGTTCTGCCGCTTCCTAATTGTAGGAGACTTAAGTGATGCTCTCATTCATAAAATGGGGCCTACAACATAGTTTTGTAAACATTAAATGAAATAATCAATATAAAATGCATAGCATAGTACCTGGTCCACAGTATATGCTCAGCAAGTGACAGCTACTGTTGCCATTATTATAATTCTCCCCCTCTTCCTCTTCCCCCATTCTCTTCTTCCTTTTCAAAGTAATGGTAGTGATGATAATAGTAGTGGTGGAAGGTGAATAATAGAAAGGATGCTCTGATACAAGATATGTAACATAAGATAATCAAGATGAAGAGGTTACTGGTAATAATATGAAATCCACTAATTTAGACATGAAATACAATTGCAAGAACTAATCTGACAGCTAAACCTCTTGGTAACAAGCAGCTCAAGGGCTACTGCATAAAGCCTAACAAGTTCTCAGGAATCTGATTTTCTGTATATAGCAGAATGATGCTTAATCAATTAAAAAATACTAGAAATAGGATGATGTCCTTTTTTTTGTGAATTCCTATGGCATTTGGGGGAATTTTAAGTCCTTTACTGATTTGCATTTTTAACTGATCTCTTTGGATAGATAGATGGATTATAATCTATATTTACATATAGATTATAAATATATATATAAAATCTATAATACTATAGATAATGCTACAGGGGAGCTGACATATTTGAAAAGCTCCATTAACTCTCTTAGAGCATACATATCTTCAATGAATATGCTTAAATAGTTATTTCTTAAATGGTATATAAATGTTCTAGGTGTCTGTAGTCCTTTATCTAAAGGCCATTACTTCAGTCTTTCACAACAGTACTCCCAGAGATATTGTATTAGTCTGTTGTCATGATGCTGATAAAGACATACCTGAGACTGGGCTATTTACAAAAGAAAGAGGTTTCATTGGACTTAAAGTTCCACATGTTTGGGGAGACCTCAGAATCATGGCAGGAGGTGAAAGGCACTTCTTACATGGTGGTGGCAAGAGAAAAATGAGGAAGAAACAAAAGCAGAAACCCCTGATAAACTCATCAGATCTCATGAGACTTATTCACTATCACGAGAATAGCACCAGAAAGACTGACCCCCATGATTCAATTACCTCCCCCTGGTCCCTCCTGCAACACGTGGGAATTCTGGGGGATACAATTCAAGTTGAGATTTGGGTGGGGACACAGCCAAACCATACTGGACACATAATAGTATATCTATCTATCTATCTATCTATCTATCTATCTATCTATCTATCATCTATCTATCTATCTATCTAATCTATCTATCTATCATCATCATCTATCTATCTATCTATATCTATCATCAACTAGATTATGAGCCTCCAGAGAACAAGATTTTTATTTTATACCGATAGAGGAGATGGTCCTTAGATACTTTTGGGATAAATTAATTTCCTTGACCTCCACATTTTTCAACTTTCTTTTTGAACACACTTGAAGTAGTTTAATTCTAGAATACTTCAAGAGGAGTATAAGGCTCTCAAATCAAAAATTAAACAGAAGATTCTAATTAAGATGATGTATCCAATTTAGAAACATCAGTGCTTTCACAATCCACTTCATAGAAGAATATAGAACAGAGGGTATAAAACTACTGTATGTATTCCTTGAGTTTATTGAAAGTTATTTTCTTTTACTTATCTTGATATTTATGAGTTTTTACTAATTATTGTATAGTACATTTCTTTATAAAGGAGTAAGAAAACTTCAGAAATCATGTATTTATTATAAAATATCTTTCTAAAGGATTAAAATGTTGAGTTAAACACTTTATTCTGAGTTACAAATATGGCAATTCATTTGAGTTGCCAATTTCCTGATTTATTTTAAAGGATAATAATTCTACTATCTTGCTTATATAAACTATAGATTTTATGATATCATCAGATTCTCTATTCAAATATCTCTGTTAATGTTGATGGAAAATTATTTGTAGCCCAATTTTATGTGAAGAAACTAAGATGGAGATTTTTAGTAAACATTTTAAGGATTGACGCCTGGTAACTGGCAGAACTGGGACTGAGACTCTTATTTTCATGTTTTCTAATGTGTTATTCTCTTTTGGCTTTAATATGCACCCCCATTGGTTTCATCAAATTCACTGCTAAATAACTACATTCTTAATCAGTTAAATGCACATGGGATAGTTGTTTCCAAGAGTTTTTATGTAAATCTGGAAAGTTTTAAATATGTTATCAATTCCTTACCAATACAATTAACGAACTAATTAGATTATTATTAGAGAAGACTAATGGGGTTTTAATATTTTCTTCCTGTTATGAATTAAAATAGCAAACAGAAAACAGCAGTAGTAATGTTATTGGTACAATTATGGTGATCTTTATTTTTTGTATTTTAAAGTACTTTTTTTAACAAAATATTAAATATTTATTTTAGAAAATTTGGAAATAACAGATAAAAGAAAATAATTTTAATTCTTACTAACTATAATTTCTTAAATTTTTTGTATATATATTCATATTTATATCTCTTTACATATAAATATGCATTCTATCTCCACTGATATATTTCTATTACTCTGTATAGATGCCTCTATCTCTATTTTAAATCTCCAAGTTTACCAGTATAGGGATATCTGTCTTTGTTTTTCTCAATCTGTCTCCAGTTCTATCTCTATCTGTACAGACTTATTTCTGTCTCTATAGGTATCTCCATCTCTAGATGCAAAAATGAAATGTATGCTATCTTTATGTAAACATAAAAATCATCCTTAATATTTTTGTAACCTTATTGTTTTCATTCAGTTTGTGAACTTATTTTCATATCATTAAATATTTTTCGAGAAAATAATTTTATTTGGTTACAAAGTAGTTTAGCATATTTATGCATCATTATTTACCTAAATTATTCTTTTTTCCCTGGGTATTGAGGTTACTTCCATATTTTTACTGTGAAAAGCAGCACTGCAGTGGACATTTTTATAGCTAACTTTTTCAACATTATCCATGATTAAATGTTGTAGGCAAAAAAAAAAAAAAAAAATCTCGTGGGTGACTTTGTAGAACAATTTCTGAATCAAATAGAATTTACATTTTCAAGATTTTAGGGTCATATTACTAAATTAATCTTCTGACAACCAGAATAACAAACATCTTTGAATTTTATCAACACCAATTCATATATGCATTTGATTAACAGCAAATGTCAGGTGCAGAAATCTCACTTGACACTGTCATTCTATAATTTTAAGTAAAATTATTATTACCTTTATTGTTATTATTATTACTTCATGAATTTTATAGATAACTCCAATCCCTTCTTATACATCTTTAATTTCCAGGATTTAAAACTTCCTAAGTTAATTTGTTATTCCTCAAAATTGGAGTACTTTGTGTTTCTATAGCACTAGCACTTCTAAAAGTTGTCAGCAAACAGTGCTTTAATTGATATTCACAACATCCCTGTGAGATAATAGTAAGAAATACGTACTATTGTGCCTCTTTTGCACATCTTGAGTAAACTTAGCAGAAAGGCAACTTGTTCAAGCTTAGACAGAAATTGTTTCTCAAGAGATTGTATGCATACAAGTAGGAAACTGGAATCATCTTTTAGTTCTATAAGATAATCATTTTGAAGACTCTTGGTATGAGTTGAAACCAGAAGAAAGGCTCTTGTAGATTTGGTACAGTTTAGGTGTCTAGGTAACAATCAGTTGTACCACAAAATGTCTACTAATATGGGTGATGCTTGTTTTCTAAACGTAGCAGATGTTCATCACGCTTTTTAATTTCTGTGTGTTTCCTTTGAAGCATTTATGACTTTTTTTCTGAGGTACAAAAAGTTAGTATATTTTTCTTCTATTTTCAAATTATTACATAAGTATGACTCTATTATCTGGAATGGACATTTTTATTGCTAACATTTTCCAGGGTAGCTGAGAAAATTTATTACAAGAAGTGAATCAGGCTGTTTGCTGATAAAATATTTAGCAAACTATACCCAGCAACCAAATTATTATGCTAAGAGCTGTAAATCCGTAGAACAAAAGTATTTTGAAGTTGGTCAAGTGAGCCTCAGATCTTTTATTATACTTTATTGTGTTTATACAGCTAGTCTTCAGCCACAAGGGCATCAAAGGCAAAAAAAAAAAAAAAAATGAATGTTTAAATAGTAGCAGTTCAGAAAAAAAAAAGAATGGCAGTGTTAAATTGTGCCTCCACTTTATACTACTACGAACATATTGATATATACAAAATCCAAATTGCTAGGAATTCAATGTGACAAAATTAACTGAGTATTACAATTTTTTGATGTGCCAGAGCCCTGATATATAAACTTTTATTTAGAATGGGATTTGGTTCAGTTTGAATAATGTTCCAAGAAGTTGAAAGGTTATTGGGAAAAAAATTGCTAAAGAAACATCTCTAATATGTTAGATGAATACTGAGGATATAGTTAGTGTATAGCGTTACAGGAAGGCTATAGTACATAAATTACAGGAAATAGTAATGCATTCTGAAAATTGTAAATTTTATCCTCGGCTAGCATATATTACTATTTCCAGAAGGAATCTGTGATGAGAAGATTAAGAAGCCATAATTAGTTTCCATCAATCTCTGTCAATAAATATATGGGAATTCTGATACATGTTGAGCACTGCATTATGTACTGAGGGCTATGCTGTCATAGAGTGGTCATATAAAAACTCGAATGACTATCTAACAATTAAATCTAGTATAGGCATATCCCATCACGGCACATGCACATGTGAATGTGTGGTGGGCGGAGGGGGAGAGAGAGAATGACGTGGAAAGAAAATGTGTGCTAAGTGACTGGCACACTGCTAAAAAATAGAGAAAGATTCTGTATGCTAAAGGGGCCAGATTCAGTGCAGAACTGTCCTTTGAGTTAATCCCTGAAGGACAATAACATCTTGAAAATAGGTCTGCTACTTGTCATTTGGTACAATTCCAGCCCACTTCAGCCTTTTCGCTACAGAGACATTATTTTTTGCACATTCAATAATGCTTTGTTGTTTCTTTTGTAAATTAAATCTCTGGTGTTGCACTGAACTCTATGTTCCCTTTATGCATGGCTAGTTGGTTTATACCAAGAGATGACTTGAATAGTTTCCTGGAGATGGTTTTTTTTTTCTCCTTCTTTTTATACTTTTTCTAAGTTATCACTTCTGGAGGAGCTTATGCACGAATGTGGAAACACATTCTCTTTCACATATTTAAAACAAAACAGTTTCTAATCCTCAAACTTGATGTAAAAATGCTACAAAGAGAGGATTATTTGAGCAGTGCACCTATTTCTCTTAGCAAGTTATTTTAATTACTTTTCTACATTTGTGATTAAAAAATATTTCCAATGAAATTCTTAGTATGGAAAAATGATTTATTGCCAACAGCACTGATCATGAGATTGAGCCAGAAAACAGGAAGAAAAAAGACAATATATTTTGAAGTTAAAAAAATAAAATTTTTCTGTAATATTAAACTGGGTGGAAGAAAGTCTTCACTGAAAGACCAGAACAATCATAGAGCAAGTCTTCTTCCCCCTCAGTCACTGCCAGATTCAACATCGAAGGTATTCCTTTTTATTCTCACTTCTGATGAAATGTGGGAAGGACTCAGAGACATTAACAGGGAATCACATTGTTCTCCCAAAAGGATAATATCCATGAAGATAATGTTTTGGTACCAAAGAGACATGCTATCTTTTTTGTCTATGTCCAAAATGCCAAAGTGTATGTCTCAGAAAATTATCGTAGCTTTTGATTATTTGGTTATTTTATATTGAGAAACCCTAATTAAGAGCTAAAAACTCCAGCTCGCAATTTGGTTGCTTAGATATATCCAAGGTTTTGGTATCCAGTAACTGAGTTTTTGTTTTATTTTACCTTAGAATTCTGGCCTTTTGTAGAGACTGTTCATATTCATGATGTCTGATAAGATTTAACTTGTGGGCAGTTATGATGATCAAACAGTACATAAGCATATATGCACACAATGAAACGTATTTACATTTAAAATACACAAATATACTAGCAAATGAATTCAGACTCCATTTATCCATTTGCTCATTCATGTAGTCAACAAAATGTGCCAATTACAATTAAAAATTACATTCTTAATGTCTTAAGATCTTAGATTGTTTTTCACAGCTGAACTTTTTTCTGTTGAAATTGAAATTTTACATGTAGTCTCTATATCCAGTGGTGGAGGAAACTTCATCTCCTATGGAAGGTCACTGGAGAATTTCTGGGAACTCTAGGGCATTTGGGGATGTGTTCTTATGAAAGATCAAAGGTTCCTCTTTCTTCATGCTTAACAATTCTCCTCAATGGAGGAAGAACATACCATAAATAGGGTTTACCATATTTTCATGTTCTCTTACTAATAACACCACAAAATTTTCTTCTAAGATGCATACCCCATTTGGTAGTATCTTCTAAAATCTAAGTTAAAACAAGCAATTCTACTTCTTCTGACCCCCTAAATTGTTTTAAACTTTTCATAATAAACTATGAAGCTTTTGTGTTTTAATATTTATTTATTTGACTGAAGTAAAGAAATGTACTTTAAATAATTCTCTCTGTCCTTACCTTAAAGTCAGGTACAGCTAGAATCTGAAGGAATTTATCCTACCGTAATTAAAGTATTCTTGAGTTATCCCCAAGTTAGTTAATTTGATGTCTTCAAAGAACATCTTAAGTGACAAAACACTGAAACTTTAATAGAGCAAGAATGTAGATTACATTAAAAGTATATTCACAACACCTTCAAGTCATTTATTTTCCTTCTCAAATTCACTCTCGTTGTTAATCTGGAAGCAGACCAACTTGATTGGAATCTCAGTTCTACCACCTATTATCTATGTGCCCTTAAGCAAGTTAAGATCTCTGTGCTTCCTCTTCATTGATAAGATGAAGAAAAGAGTAGTAGACACTAAATAGGGTTTCTGTAAAAATGAAATGAGTTCATACATGTACACAGCTTAGAACAGTACTATTTGTATAGTAAGGCCTCCCTATAAATGTTGACTATTATGATGGAGAAGACATAATACTGAAGGAAAGAGCTATTCTATTCAACAACTCTTTCTTTATTCTCTACTCCTGTACTACATTTCCTTGACAGTCATTATAATTACAGAAGATGGACTTACATGAAAATATCAAACTGAATGTTGAAACACATGAGTTTGAGGAAAGGTGGAAGTTAAACTACTTTATAAAGATGTATCCTGAAACCCTGAGTCATAACACAGTGCCGTCCCACCGGGGCTGGTCTCCTAGTACCACTCTGGTCTTCTGTCACCTTGAAGAAACACACACAGCATTTTTTTCAGTTTTCATTTGGACCTTCTCTTTGCACTTATTTATAGTTATGGTGTCTTTTGACCAATATTTCTAATTCATATTATAAACAAGGTACCCAGGAAAAGCTGAATATATTTTATTTTATTAAAAATATTCACACGATAATGGAGGTATAAGAGTAATAACACAAAGCACAAAAACAAATGACAAAAGAATATATCCCGAGAATTTGAGTCCTGAGGTAGAAAGGGAAATGTGACAATAATAACTATGGATTTCCTGGTAGAACTCAGAATGACTAAATATGTAATATTTAGGGTTTTTTTTCAATACCACTCTCCTTTTGGGATGCCTGTATACCATGTGTTTCTACTTCTAAACTTTCTCTTCCTCTTCCTTTCTTGTCAGAGTTACTAGACAAAGTGAGAATGAACTCATTTGCCCCTTAACTGTATCTCTGTATAACATACATTGGAGGTTTTACGCTATCGTAACTTAGGTGTTCTAACAAAGGACATTACTCACTGAATAGGTCCTACATTGCTTAGGTCTCTCTTCTAAGATTCTTATGGTCATCAAGTTTATTTTAAGATAATGGACAGATCTATAGCTACAAATAAAGGTATATCTTGGAGTCCTTTAGAAGAGAGAAAAATTTTGCCCTTTCAAGTTATCCTGGACCAAATAAATAATTAAAAATGAGTAATGCCAAGAAATGATTTGTATCAGATACTTTACCTTGTTTTTCTCAATTATGGTTTTGAGGAACTGTGAAATATCCCATTAGGAAACAAACCAAAATTTGCACAGACAGCCTGTGAAGTTATATTACTGAAATGACCATGTGTGGAACGTAATTATTGTATGAGTCATTCAGAACCATAAAAATAGGAGTTTATTAAATTTTATAAAATTGACTGGATTTTAATGAGGTTTTCCAGATAGAAGTGGTTGTATTCTTATTTAAGTAATAATGCCAAAAGTGATTTTTCCCCCAGAAAATGCTCATACAACTCTAGCACTGGCAATGCTAGTCCTCGTGGTGTACATGAGGACTAAACTTAATGAAATTATCTTGTATTAGGGAATATTGTTAAATAAATAGATTTTAGTTGCTCTTGTTCCCTCAAAAAGCAACTATGTGAGATGTTGAATATGTTAATCTGCTTTACTGTAGTAACCATTGATTAGCTGTATGAATCCCATAACATAATGTTTTAAACTGGAAATACACACAATAAGATTTTTTAGAAAACAAACAACAAATAATCTACTACTAAAAGTTGCTGAAACTAAAATTTTTGTAAGTTGACTGTTTTCTCCATTGACTAGATTACATTTAGAAATATTTTCAACCAGAAAAGATGTTCCCAAACTTTATTAACACCCAATTAATAATTCTTATAAAATATTTGTATAGATAGAGATAGATATATTTAACTGAAAACCAAGATACTGAAAGTAACATTTAGCAAGGCAACAACTTGCCTGCAGAAAATACAGTAGTGTGTATTGGGGCTATTGAAATAAATACGTATCAAGAATCTAATATTCTAGAGGAGAATCATAAGTAAAGCATCTTATTGACAATACCTAATAATAATGGTACTATTTATTATAAAGACATGTAAGTTGATTGAAAACTGACTATATAAAGAGGTTCTGAGGCCAGGCGCGGTGGCTCACGCCTGTAATCCCAGCACTTTGGGAGGCCGAGGCGGGCGGATCACGAGGTCAGGAAATCGAGACCATCCTGGCTAACATGGTGAAAACCTATCTCTACTAAAAATAAAAAAAATTAGCCGGGCGTGGTAGCGGGCGCCTCTAGTCCCAGCTACTCTGGAGGCTGAGGCAGGAGAATGGCGTGAACCCGCGAGGCGGAGCTTGCAGTGAGTCGAGATCGCGCTACTGCATGGGCGACAAAGCGAGACTCAGTCTCAGAAAATAAATAAATTAATTAATTAAATAAAATAATAAAATAAAATAAAGATGTTCTGGCACTGTTCAAGAACAAATTCTGGCATAAGTTATACATTTTGATATTCTTAAGTCTGCTGTAAGTTAGTAGAACTCAAAATGTTTAAATGAGTACCAGGCCTTCTATTTGTGTGGCTTTCATAAAATTACTCTGGTATTCTTTTCGGTTTGTTTGTAAGCGTGTGTGTGTGTGTGTGTGTGTGTGTGTGTGTGTGTGTGTGTATGTAACATTAATAAGGCATTAAGCCAAGATATGTATACAACATTTCCATTTGAAAAATCTTTGGACCAATAGTTTGATCATTAGGAGACTTTACCATTGTTTTTGTAGTTCAGAATAGGTCATTTGCCAAATTAAACAGAAGTATTATCTTTCTTAAGGCAGGTGGAGATAGGAATTTATGAATTTATTCAGGTCCATTCTAAAGGAGGCATTGTAAAACAATATCTTGAAAAGATCCTACACCTTCTTTCCAGATACACTTATTGAGTAGCTACCATGAGTAATGATGTATAGTTTCTTTTATTTAGAGGAGGAATACAGCTATGATTGCATTTATTTATAAACTATTAAGTCAGAAGGTTCAATACTTAAGTCCAAGGTTCTAAGATTCTAGAAAAAAATAATATGACCATGTCATCTGCCTTCTACGCAACCCCCACAGATTCAAGAATAACTATGTAATTATCTTCTCAAGGGGCTTCCACTAATTCGTTTTCAATCATCAGATTAGAAGGTAACATGCTGTAGCAATGTTATTTATATATATATATGTGTATATATATATATATATATATATATGTATATATATATTTCTCTCCTGAGAATTGGATTTAATATTTGGAGACATTCAACTTTTCCCCAAAGTAGTAAGGAGATTATTCAGCTCCTTAAGGGGTATTTTTTTTCTGAAGGGATAATGCAAAAAGGAATCATGGCATCTCTTGATTGGAGTAAAATGTAACCATCAACATTGGCCTGGTGGGATCTGAGTTATGATAAATGGATAAAACAAGATTAAGTTTTTTAAAAATGATGATGTATAGCTATTTCACATTTTAATAGAATTCTGAAATATAGATTTGACCCCATCACTTTCTTGCACAGACTTCCAATATTGTTTTTAAGGATAAAGTTCACGGTCTACAGGTTAACATTGAGGTTTTTAAATTATTTTTGTCTAATTTTTCTAGACTCACATTCCTCTACTTCTCCACATGAAACTTTCATCTGATAATGCAACACATCTTGCTGTTTCATATTTCTGTCCCTTTTCCACTTTCTTTATTCCGGGAAAACTTTCGTACTTCTATAATCTGAAGTTTGATTCAAGTAAGCTCTTCCTCCCGTTTAGTTAGATAAGCCTCTTTCTGTGTTTTCATAGGCACATTGTGTTTCTCTAACACAACACTTATTACACTGTTATAGCATTCACTTACTTGCCTCTCTTGTCCAGCACTTCAGGTGTTTTTGAGGCAAGGGAATAAGTTAGATTCATCTTTGCCATCTCAGTATCATATAATGTTTGGAACACAGTAGATGTATAATAAATATGTATGAAATAAATGAGAGCTGAGCAAAGCTCAGTTTTTAGGCCAGGTTTATATTTTTAATCTTGAAAGTGGTCTCTAAGATCATGTCCAACCACTGAATTACATGCGGGGGCCAAGAAGCCAAGACTTCAGTGACAGATCAAGACTAAATGTCTAAGTGAGGCTAAAACTGTCAAAGTTAATGCAGTTTTTGCTTTGAGGAAACTTGATATGATGTTAAATTTCTAAAAGGGCAAGGAAAGTAGAATTGATCAGGTAGCAGAAATTTTACACAGTTTTGGACATCAGAATGAGCATCCTAAGAGGAGTACACAAACTTTGACCGTTTTCTTCTACCCTCTTCACTGCATGGGTCTCAAATCTGGCCATGGACTCCTCTAGACTTTCTCCTTGGGAAATAGGCCACTGGTGAGTTTTGCAGAATTTCAACAGCAACTTTACCCAAATGGCCAAAAAAAAAAAAAAAAAAAAAAATCTATGAGTAGTCTTAGATCTTCTTTCCTAGCTTGCAGACCTCCTACTTATTTTTCCTCTGACTAGTACTGTAATAGAATATTTTCCTTTTTTTTACTTAACATGCTCTTAAGACAATCCTAAAACCAACCATCATTTTAAACTCTAAATCTACTTTTTATTTATTATTCTTTTTATGACACAACTTTTCCTCTCAAAATGTTTATAATTTCAATAGGCAGACAATAGGCAAAGGCATAAAAGAGAATGATCAAGTGATGATCAAGTGCTACTGTACGTGGAACTGACAGAAGGAAAAGTCACTTTTCCAGCATATTTAGGGAGAACTTCAGTACAAAGCAGCAACTTTAATTAGGTTAAATATATATCTAGTTTTATTTGGATTCATTGAGTTAAAAATTATAAATTGAGAGACATGGCAATATAGGAATGATAATTACTACCTAGAATCAGATAGCCCATAAATTTATGTGATCTGTAGAATTTTAAATCACTTCCATGGCTTATTCAACAAACACATTCAAAAATCATCTATCTCTGTATTTTATTTTATATTCTTCCCCTACGAAGCAGATATCTTAATTGCACATAGTTTATATGAATAATTCACAGCCTCCTAAACTTAAGTGCAGTCTTTCAAATTGTGCAGAATATTTTAAGCAAGAAAACAAACAAAATATCCAAAATACTGTCTTCTAGTATAATATTGCAACTGTATAGAAGAAGTTTTTATTAAACATGTTGATGCCTCTTCATTGAGTTATTTCTTTGGTTTAATTTTTTGGAAATCTTACCTATCTCAAGAAGTGAGAAGATACAAAATTACAAAGAAAACTGGCTTCATAAATTGGTACTGAAAGTTGCTTTTACTTTGAAAGGCTTTTTGCTGTATTTCCCACTTAACAATCAAAAGTTCCTCTTAGCAGAAGTTAGCCAACCAATAAGTTATTTGAGAATTAAGTTTATTTTAAAAAGAACTGAATGCTATACATTATTATCAATATTATTGTTATTCCGGCATGATAACATTTGTTTCAGAACAACTTAGAAAGTCATACAGACATTATACACTTAGACTGAATAATCAAAGAAATGGCAGTAGCTCTTTTATGGTGAAAGAATATCAGGCCTCAACAGATAAACAATCCATGCAGAATTATGAAGCCTGGGAATGAGTTCTGCAATTCTCAATTTAGTTTGCTTCAGTTTAGATCAGATTTGGGTTTTTTTTGGACATAAATAGACATTTCCATAATAAGGGATGTATTCCTATTGCTTTGAATGGGCACCATTTTGCCCACTTCAGTGAAAACTGTCTTATCAAGAGAGCCTAAATCCCATAATAGTTGGCAAGTTATATTTATTTGGCAATTTTGACAGATTTATGTCTTAAAATCATGTCAGATCGAAGGCCTTTTAAGATCTTTAGTTCAAGAACCTTTACTGAAATAGCATTAAATGTCTGATTTAAACTGACAAGAGAAAGAAAAATGCAAGTTAAGACTGTCATTCCCAGGCACTCAGCAAGTTCTGTAGAATGTTTTGAGGTCCATAAAAGAGCTCCTGAAAAGTTAATACTAAGTGACCTTTTTTTTTATATGGGACTTACTTGATTTTTCTTTTTCTTTTTTTCTATTTTTTCTTTGAAATATTCTAATATTTAATATCTTTGACTTTCTCAAATGTTATGTGTTTTTAAGACTTCAGTTACATAGAAAGATTAAGCATCTGTAACACAATATTTAATGACAGGACTCCCTGAAAGGTCTGAGACATATTTCTAAAGTATAATTTTTTTAAATAATTGAAGATAAAATATTCCCTTCCTTTCAATGTATTTTTTTTAAATTTCCTTAACTAACAGTTTGAATAACCTGTATTAGATTTACTTACCAGAGATTAGCATCTTTTTAAACCTTAATTGAATCAAATTAGATATCACATTTGTCTTCACACAGTGCTCAAAACTGTCAAGGCGACTTTAGTTCTTCTCCCTTTTGATTAAATGGTTAGCCGTTTAGTAACAGCTATGAACAGCTACAATGGCAGGCAACACAGGCAGCATCAGAAAGACAAAGAGAGCTTTGTAAAACTTCACATCTAGCTCCATAACATATTGATTCTATGTCAGCATAATTACATATATCAAATTGACTCTATATTGATGAACACTTGCATTTGAACTTGCATACTGAGTGATTTCTATAAACAGATTTTCTGTATCTGGCATTCTATTAGCTCACTCTCGCTTTTATGAAGAGTTAACTCTTTTTTTTTTTTTTTTTTTTTTTTTTTGAGAAGGAGTCTCGCTCTGTCGCCCAGGCTAGAGTGCAGTGGCGTGATCTCAGCTCACTGCAACCTCTGCCTCCCTGGGTTCAAGCGATTCTCCTGCCTCAGCCTCCTCAGTAGCTGGGATTACAGGTGCGTGCCACCAAACCTGGCTAATTTTTGTGTTTTTACTAGAGACGTTGGTCAGGCTGGTCTCAAACTCCTGACCTCGTGATCCGCCCGCCTTGGCCTCCCAAAGTGCTGGGATTACAGGCGTGAGCCACCGCGTCTGGCCAAGAGTTAATTCTTCCGTCAAGAGTTAGTTGTTCTTCATGATAGTGGCCTTGTGGAATTACATTATTATGAAATGTCTGCCAAATCAGAAAAATTTTATTGGGTGGGGTACAGTTTTAGTAGAAAGCATAGTTTATTATTCTCAAATTCGTTGAAAACTTATAATATGCATAGGGATATAGGATAATTATCAATAAGTATAAGCTGTACACAACCATTTAAGATTACAAATAATGTGTTGGGTTTCCTCCTGAATTGCCTACATTAAAGATTGTGAAAAACAAAATTCCCAATATTTTTAGGATACCCCTTTATTCGTGAAGCTGGTATGTCTAAGAAGGAGAGATGAAACATAAGATTTATCTTCAATAAATAAGTAAGGCTGTCATGTAGGGTTTTTTTTAATTGCTACCAAGCCGTCTTTAATGCTACAAGAGACGCTGGCATTATGTAATGCCTTTTGCATACATCAGGTCATTTTTGAGAATCAAAGAGTAACTATATAAAGAGTTCCATTATCTCTGTCCTTAATGTGGGACACAAATAGACCAAGTAAATTGTCCAGAATTACACATATAGCAAATGGTGAAGATATGCTTCAACGCCAATCCTGCAAAATATACTTTCTACTATACCAAAAAAAGTAATAGGTACATGAAAATAATGAGAAAAATAAAAATAAAAAACTGAGCAAGATAAATAAAAGATTTAATGTGAAAAATATGTCTGCCATTAAGAATATGGACTATTAATTTTAAAAGAATGTATTTTTAATGTGCAATTTTTTCTTCTACATGTATATGTCCTATGTGTATGAATTAACATCTTATTCTAAAAAATAGTTTATCGAAATATTTGTACTCTTTATTTCCCACAAATGCTGTCCTAATAAATATTTACAATTTATAAAGTTAGTGTCTCTAAACTAAAAAGATATAAATTTTATAAAGGGTGAATATAAATAAAATATATTAATAATGCATTTATATGTTTATAAAATATCATTTTGTAGTAAATGTATTTGAGAGTATATATATATTTTTTTAAAGTTCTGTTTTTATCTCAACCTAAGAATGGAGATGAAATGGCAATGCAGGTGTCAGACAATGTGGGAAGTTTTCTTTCTACATACTGTTATTTAATTTTCCTTGAAATAATTTACCTTTGCATTTTTTTAATATTATGCTTAGAGTATAAAAAGTGACTTTTTTTTTTTTTTGAGATGGAGTTTTGTTCTTGTTGCCCAAGCTGGAGTGCAATGGTGCAATCTCGGCTCACTGCAACCTCGGCCTCCTGGGTTCAAGTGATTCTCCTGCCTCAGCCTCCCCAGTAGCTGGGATTACAGACAGGCACCACCATGACTGGCTAATTTTTTGTATTTTTAGTAGAGATGGGGTTTCACCATGTTGGCCAGACTGGTCTTGAACTCCTGACCTCAAGCAATCCGCCTGCCTCGGCTTCCCAAAAAAGTGACTATCTTGTACCTAAATATGGATCACAAAATATTTCTTGCACTGGTCAACACAAACTAGGCAGAAAAATATTCTCATTTATCAATATTCTTTTATTCATTAAGTGCATTTTCTTAAGTTAGCTCAAATAGCTTAGCTGATGATTGTTAACATCCACATTTCTATGCACAAGTAAAGGAACCAGAGAGATAAATCTCCCACTTTTCATGACATTTGTTGCAGAGGAGCCAATTCGATCCTGTTAATTGGTTTCTGATTTGTTTCGATGATGATGTACAGATGGAGCTAGTGAAATAGGCTTTACTACATAGTAAGTTGACCCTCTGAGACTCAAACTTACTTCCCTGGGTCTCCCTAGCATAGGAAAGGTGAAAACAGTGTAGCTGGGGCATGGGGACAATATTAACTCTGCATCAAATTAAAGCTTCACTTATCCCCAAAGTTTGTATGCTTAGATCTGCAAGAAGCTTCTACTCAGAGGTTGAAGGTGAGGAAGGGCATGCTTTCCTTTTCTTGATATACCCAGTAAAGGACTTTCTTTCCTTCTTTTAAGGTAATACAAAATAGTTAATTGAGCTCAGTTATGCTTAGATAGAAATAACTGGAGTAAGATCTCTATAAACCACCAAAATTTGTCTACTGAAATGATTCTGTAAGAGCCATATCGTATGGTGAAATCTTAGTCTGCCGGAATGAATCAATGGAAGCAGCATGCTATGTTTGAGATGAAAATTGTTTTGACTTTAAGATTATATAACATTGAGGCCGAGCACGGTGGATCACACCTGTAATCCCAGCACTTTGGGAGGCTGAGGCGGGCGGATCACCTGAGGTCGGGAGTTCGAGACCAGCCTGACCAACATGGAGAAATCCCATCTCTACTAAAAAAATACAAAATTAGCTGGGCGTGGTGGCGCATGCCTGTAATCCCAGCTACTTGGGAAGCTGAGGCAGGAGAATCGCTTGAACCTTGGAGGTGGAGGTTGCGGTGAGCCGAGATCACGTCTTTGCACTCCAGCCTGGACAACAAGAGTGAAATTCCGTCTCAAAAAAAAAAAAAAAAAAAAAAGATTATATAAAATTGAAACTGTTTTTTAGTCCTGTGCCATGTTTCTGTTTTAGCTATGTTTAAGGTATTTTCACATATGTGTGTTTTCTCTTGTATCTTCAAACTCTCCTTTTCCAATGACTTCTTTCCTTCTACCATGAACATACTCAAATATCTTCTGCTGAAAGAGGAGCAAAAACCAAGCAATGACAACAGACCTTCCTTCTATCGTAACCCCCCTTAAGACTTTGCCTTGAATTTGTCCTGATGTTATGGTAAAACTTGTAAAGAACAGTTAGTCCTCCTTTCCTCTACCCTGGTCATTCCTGAACCTATCACAGTTTGGTTCTGGGCTCAACAGTCTCATGAAAGGAATTTCATCTGGTCATTGATTACTTCCCATTTTCCAAACCCAAAGACCTATTTTAAGTTCTCTTTGACATTCCCCTGATATTTGCAACTGTTAATTGTAATCAACTCCTCAAATCCCTTTTTTAATGTTCCTGGAAATTAAGCTTTTTATCAGTCCAAATATGATCTTTTTGTCAGTAGACAATTCCTATAGGAATAAGACACCTTTAATTTGTTTATGTAGCTTTACTTTTTGTCATTTCTACCTTCTACTTTGTATAAATTATTAACCTACTTAAATAATTATGTACACAACATAGCCACACACAGTGTCTGTTTTACCTCAGAAATGTGTCTTGAATCTGTTTCCTCTCTCCATCCTGATGGCTGCTGCCACTGCTTTGACTCTTGCCCTTGTCTTCTCTTGCTTCGCTGATTGAGATATTCTATTTAGTCTTTTCTCCCCAAAGTCCTTTCGTCTCATTAAAACGTATACAAAAACATAGACCGATTTTGTCACTGCCCCACTTAAAATAGCCCTTGGATACCTGTGGTGGTCAGAACACTGTGTTTACTCAGTAGTTATTATGGCATTGGTGGCCATTCCCAATTTGGACTCAACACCACACTCATCACTAACTACACAAGCAGCATGCTCCTGCTTTCCACATCTGGGTCTATCCCTCCAGATGTGCATATTTGTCAAGCTTTTCCCCAGATTGATTCATTAGAGTCTTTTACAACACTGTACCTTTTACAAATGTTTCCTTCCCTGGAAAGTTGTTTTCACAGTATCTTTGCCTAAAAGATAAACTCCATGATCATTCCAAAAAACGCAGTTTACTTTAGTTCAAGTAAAGTTTTATAAGGGGACTTCTACATGCACAAGACGGAGAACATAAAAAAAGTATGTTTTTTTTTTGCCCTAAGAGTTCATAGTCTGTAAGGAGTGGGGGAATAGAGAATGTGATACACTTTGACAAATTAATAATATATTATGAAAACAGAAGGAGGCAGGTAAACACTGACATCATTAGGGAGTTACAGCGAGAGGAGCTACTGCTCTTGAACACATTCTCCATATTAATACTTTTTAAGACTTTTCTACACTTAGAGCAGGTAGTTAAAGGGTAAAACCCATTTTCAGTGCTGCCATAGAAGATTTTGGATATTATTTTTCTTCAAACACAGCAAGCCATGTAGAAGAGAGTCAGGGAAGCCTTTTTAAAAAGTAAGTAGAGTTCAATATCTCCTCCACAGAGAAGCCTTTCCATATTCCCCCAGGAAGAACTCATATTCTTGTCTCTTCATTCTCATAGGACTGTTCATATCTGTCATGTTCACTGGTCTATCATGGGTATTCAATAAGTGTTGGTTGAATATATGTACAATGAATTTTTTAAACATGAATTAATACACTATAATGTATTATAATTGATCTATCTACTTGTTTGTAAAATTTTAGGAAGAACTGCATATGAATTCCATGGTGAATTAGAGACTTTGCCACAAACTATAAAGGCAACTCTAAACACGTGACCTAACTTCTTAGGCTTTTTTTGTTTATTTGTTTTTCAGTTATTTTTGTTTTTTTGTTTTGAGACAGGGTTTCCTCTGTCACCCAGACTGGAATGCAGTGGCTCAATCACTGCTCACTGTAGCCTCAAACTCCCAGGCTCAAGAGATCCTCCCACTTCTGCCTCCTGAGTAGCTGGAACTACAGATGCATGCCACCACGGCTGGCTAATTTTCTATTTTTTGTAGAAACAGGGTTTTTCCATGTAGCCCAGGCTGGTCTCGAACTCCTGGACTCATGTAATCTGCCTGCCTTGGCCTCCCAAAATGCTGGGACTACAGACGTGAGCCACCATGCCCACCTAAGCTTTTTTGTTATCCCCAAATTGAAAGCATTAGATTAAATGATTTAAAACATTATTTTACAGATCTAAAATTTCCTTTTCTACTAATTTGTTATAAATCAAACACAGTTGGAATACATTTATTCAGTATATTTAAGGTAACAATTATCACTTTAAAACCACGTCTTGTTAAATGTTGAAATTCTTTATTTATTTGTAATTCATTAGTAAGAACAAGAATTTACAAATTCCAGGCTAAAAGTGTATTGGATCTCTTGAAATTAGTATTTAAATTTTGTTTATTAAAAGCTGAATGGATTACTTAAGATGAAAGAAAACTGGTTTAAGTTTAGCCCATGAAATATATCTACATCATCCCAGTAGTAGGAAAGTGCTATTCATCTCAGTAAAATTAACAGAAGTTAAGTTGATTGATTTAGCTATTATCAAAATCTTTTATTTTTAAAAGCAAATGATTTTTTTCAGATGAACAGCAATTATAGCCAAAAGGTTTAAATTATCTAGGAAACTTTAATTTAGTCATAGATAGTGACATCCATATAAACCAAATATATAAGTGACCTGCTGTATTTGAAATCCTTAATATTACTTCCAATGCTGCAAGGAGCACTTTGTATAGCTCAAGCTTTGAGTGTTTGTAAAAAATATAAACTTTGAATCTATTAGAAATGATATAATAAAATTTGAGCAGAACATAACAAAGCAAAAAGAAAATTTTATTGTGACACTGTGAACATTGGATAATTATAAAAAATAGTGCTAAATAAATGAAATAATCAGAAAATGATAAAGAAGACGGTGAAAAATATTGCTATCATAAATTTAGGTGTTCTTGAATTATTCTACTTCTATAAAAGAAGAAGAATGTCTAAATTTTAATAGACGTATATTTGATATTTTGTCTCTCTAGATGAAGTTTTGATAGTACATTTTACATTTTTTTAGTGGTACAAATTGGATGTGTAGCAAATTCAAAATATGAATGTAATTTTACTTAAGAAAGTCAAGGGAAGCCGGATCATACTGAATGCTGTCTTTAAGCAGTTAGAAAATTAAAATTTTAGAGAAAACTAATAATAACTGGCAATATTATAAATATTTGTAATGCAGTCATGTATTGCTTAACAACAGGGATAGGGTTTGAGAAATGCACCATTAGGTAATTTCATTGTTGTTATGTGTGAACACCCCAGAGTGTACTCACATAAACCTAGGTGGCATTGCCTACTACACTTCTAGGCTATATGGTCTAGCCTAATCCTTTTAAGCTACAAACCTGTACAACATGTTATTGTATTGAATACTGTAGGCAATTGTAACACAATGGTAAGTATTGCGTGTCTAAGAATATCTAAACATAGAAAAGGTACAGTTAAAAACATGGTTTTATAATCTCATGACAACACTATGGTATATACGATCCATTATTGACTGAAATATCATTATCCAGCACAGACTGTATTCTAATTACTTTTATAAAAGTTATGAACATTTAACTCTAAGTTAAAAATCATGTTTATTAATTTCAAAGTGATGTTAAAATTAGATAAAACTGACATTTTATTTGAGGCATACCAATACACCAAATGACTACATACTCACTGCTGTTAGGGGTCTTTTGAAGAAACTGAATGAATAATTGTTGTGATTGTTTGAGTCTCCACTATGTGATTCATTGAATCCCAGTGATTCTGTCTTGTGTTACCCTTGAAATCCATTTTTCAAGGACTGATAATCATATTTAATTTTTTATTTCTGTTTTTATAATGTTAATGCTAACTTATAAGGAAACCAAATTAGTAAATAAAGATTATGGACCATCAAATAATAAAGAAATTCACTGATACTTGTTTCTCCTTCCACCTATTTAGTTGCCTATATTATTTGGGAGAAATATAGTCACAGTTTCATAACTTTTATAGAAGTTTTGTATAATCTTTATATAATATTTGTTGGTGCTATGCTACACACACACATATGTAGTAGAATGTATATGTACACTCTAAAGTTTCAAATAAAGCATACTAAACGATTTTTCTTGAAGTAACAGTTGTAAACGTTATACTTTAATTGAGTTAAATTCACAAAATCCAAGTATTCGAAACAATAAAAAGAAAATATTTTCTGATCAAATTTAAAGTTAAAAACAACATACTCTCTCATAAGAAATAAGCTTGGACATGACCTTTTTTAGCATAATGACTACTGTCATTTCAATGTCAACCTTTGAAAGCATCCATTCTTGTTAAAAACATTTGCCACTGCTGACAATTTCAGAACAAAAGTTAAGTGGGAAGAAACTTAAATTTGTCTTCTAATAACAATACCAACAAATAATTAGTATGCAATTTTTGTTCTTCTCTATAATCCACGTGATTTAGAGAAATATTTATTCAGTCTTCCTGCCACAATTATTGGACCCTGTATACTTGCTGATCAACAGAATTCATTATACTCAGCCTTGTAATCCAAGGAAGTAAAAATTTGTAATTATTTAAAGAAAAATTAGAACACTGTATTAAAACAATCACATTGATAACATGGACTTACATCATGAAAGATAGAAGGTGTTATAGGGAGGTGATAATATTTATCCAATATGTGGGGAGATTTTGGCTTTAGAATTTTGTAGAGTCAAATAAGAGAGATTATAATAATATTTTATAGCAACTTAGAGTAGTGTAGCAAGGGAATAAAAGAATAAAGTAGCTAATAAAAAGTGTTTTAAAATAGAACTTAATTGAGATTACATGACATGTGTGTTAACTTTTGCTTTTCAGTACTCATCTATTTGGGAGGAGTCTGATTTTAGAAACAAAATCAATTTTCAAACCCAATGAAAATCAGCATCTTTTCATTGTATTCTCATTTTTGTCATTTATGGCTAAGAAATCATTTTTGTAACACCAACAAAGGGAAAATTACCTGATTTTTTGTGGTAAAGTTTTAAAATCATCCAAGTTAATGTGAATAATTTGTTGAGAAAAATAATAATTGATTGTGAAAGTTAACACATTAGCAAGGTAAGGAAGTGCTGGCATGCTTGAGCAGTCTTGTCTTTGCATCTTATTTTTCTCATCTGCTTCTTACTTGCCTAAACATGTTCATCAGAAATTATAAAAGGATTTGTCCTGTCTCTGGTTCATATGCATATTTTGCTACCAAAATGTATAAGAAGAAACTTAAAGATCTCAAACACTTTATTGAGTTTACTACCAACATTGTCATTAACTGTTTATTGAATGAAGTACTTGAGGTAATTTAGTTCCCAAAATGACAACCTATTGTCTGTCCTCTAGTAAATTCTGCCTATTCAGCTCTCCCCCACCATCACCCTCAACACACTGCTAACACCACCAATCACTGCCCTGCTTCTCTCATTTCTGGACATTGAAAACCTTTTTTATATGTAGAATAATGGCTTTTCCGGGGTGAGATAAGGCAGGCAGTTTCTCTGGGAAGGCTAATAATTTGGCATTTGAATAAATCTTTAACTCACATGTTGAGTCTTGGATTGAATCAATTCAATCCAAGTTTAACATGTGAGTTTAACATTTATCATTGAATCATATGTTGAGTATTGATTGATTATTATTGATTCAATCCAAGACTCAACATAGGAGTTGAACATTTTAACTCTGTTTAAAGGAAATTTTTACATATGTAAAATGAAAATCAACAAATAATGTTGGATGTACAATATCTATTAAAGATCCTTATATGGCTGATTTGCTTGGTATCTCTAAAATTCACTCCTTACCCAAACATAGCAAAACAGAAATGACAAAGCAGAATAAAAAAAAATGAAGCCTATATATAATTCTGGCTCTTGCCTAATGGTTGAAATTTTAAAAAGATAAAGTAAGGTGATAAAAATAGGACATGAATAACATCTCGAAGAACAATCCATAGCTGTCTTTTTTCCAATTAACAAAGAGCTTTCAGCACATATTTTAAAAGAAATATTTTACTTTTAAGAATGTAGTCATTGAAGCTGTGGATGTCATTTTAGAGGATGATTTACTAACTGCATTTTTAAGATTCTACATGTGAAAACGAGGCACTTTGGATTTCCTTCTAAGTCAGCACTGTGCAAGCTCAAGAGAATATTAAATGTAGTATTTTCTGACTCCATTAAATATTTAATAGCTTTCCTTCTGTTGTCTCTATATCAAGGACAAGTCCTGTAAACCTTGACCTGAAAGCCCTAAAATGAGTTAAATAATCTATGAAAACAATCATTTAAAAAAAATCTAGCTGAAAGATTTAAAAATCTGGGAAAGGAAGCACTCAGTTCATATTTGTCCATGCATGCAAGTTTCACAATGTTTCAGATACTTTAGTCTTAAACTGAATATTCACTTTATTCAAATAATAAACACATTTTTAAAGCCTAATACTTATTTGCATATTTCTCTTTCCTTGTGTAGAACCAGCATTTGGATGTTAAACTATTTATTTTATAAGGATCCTGAAAAAAACACTATATATAAAAATCTAGAAGACAAATGAAAAATAAAAGTTAACTTCATTCTCCTGGCTTTATTGCTCTTGCAGTATTGATGACCAGAGTTTAGCATGTATGCATGTTGTGTTTTCATGCATGTGTATGCATAAAACACTATTTTATCAGTCTAGCTTTTCTTTTCTGAGTCTTTCTGATCAGTTGAGTTGAAGATTCTTGTTAAACAAAGGCCCATTCAGAGAAGACATGTATGTTATAAAGAAGAGGGCTTTGACTCCAGTCTCTAAGCTTCAGTTTGCTTTTCTGTAAAATGAGTTAATAGAATCTACTATGTAATATGTTGTTAAGATTAAATAAAAAATAATTTTTAGGACAGATGAATTCACTGAATTTTATCTATTAGTGTTATTATTACTATTGTTATTTTTGGAAGAAAGCATACGTTTTATTTTTTGGAGTCATGTCAAAGGTAGCATTGCTACTGGTATCTTAAAGCTATTCCTAATTTCTCTATTGCCACTTATTTATCCTATAAAACTGTTATCAGTGGCATAGCCCTTAATTTCTTCCTTTCCTGATGCTTCTCAGAACAACAGGTACACAGTTACTTTTTGGGAATAGAATTAGTTAAAAACAATTTGTAAAAATCATGTAGTTATGATGGCTTGCTGATTGGTTAAGAGTAAGAAAAGTCTATAAATTAGAAAGTTTTAGGATTAGCATTCAGGAATATTTGACGTTAGGACTCACTGTTAAGCCCTATAAAAATTATGAATATTTGTGATGACCTCTATGGACAAAATTGATTTTCCACCCTCATGATGCAGTAATTTCTGTGTTTTGTGTGTGTGTGTGTGTGTGTGTGTGTGTGTGTGTGTGTGTGTGTGTACTTGTCACTTATATTTCTCAGCACCCAGTAGTTTGTTAATCCCTTGAGATGGATTTTTTCCTATTTCTTTACTTAAACTGCTTCATCATAGGAAACTATGTGGCCTGATTATTTCATCCAATAGACGTTTTTATCTTCTCTGAATTCAGCATAAATTGACTGCTAATCTCTCCACCTTGAAGCATCCTCTTTCCTTTACATCTCTCACAGTACCCTACTCTTGTCACACAAGATGACAATCTATTTTCTAATTTGTCTTAGTTTATATCTTTCTTCCTATTCTGTTTGTTGTTTTCATGAACCTTCTTAAAAATCCACTTGGGGAAAGTGGTGTAAATAAATAAACCAAGATTGAGTTAAACTTTATGTTTGGTATGGCCATAATCTTTGCCATTATGCCTTCTTAATAGTTACTAAGCACCAAATCAATGCCATTAACATAAAATCTGAATAAAACTCTCTGTTACAAGCTTATTTTCTATCAACGGAGAAGAAAATCAAATATTACAGAAATGAGGTAAGTGCTATATTAGAAAACTGAAAGGAAGTGGTTAATTTTGACCAGATTTCAAGGATTTGTTAAAAGACTGTGTGATTACTGAGTTGAAGTTTAACTACTTAGTAGTTCTTTGCCAGACTCACAAAGGAAAAAGGTGAATTTTAGACAGAAGGAACTGCATGTGCAAAGTCATTAAATAGCCTGGTACATGATAGGAGAGGTGATATTCATATCAGAAAAGGTAGGTAAGGACCACATTAAGGGAATTCTTGAATAACATATTAGGAAAATTCTATGTCCAGATGCAGTAGTGCATGCCTATAATCCCAGCAGTTTGGGAGGCTGAGGAAGGCAGACTGCTTGAGCTCAGGAGTTCAAGGCCAGCCTGGGAAATATGGTGAAATCCCATCTCTATTTAAAAAAAAATACAAAAATTAGCCAGGTGTGGTGGCACATGCATGTAATCCCAGCAACTTGGGAGGCTGAGGAGGGAGAATTGCTTGAGCCCAGGAGATCAAGGCTGCAATGACCCGTGATTTCACCACTGCACTCTAACTTGGGCAACAGAGAGAGACCTTGTCTCAAAAAATAAAAATAAGGTTTTTAAAAGAACATTCCATATTATCTAGTAGTTGGGAGCCATTAAAGTATTTTAAGCAGGTGAGTGCCATAATCACATTTGTTCCCCTAAAAGAGTGCTTATTCCCAGTAATCCAAGAAAAAGTAATTAAAAGCATATTAAAAGCTAGGCTGCTGGCCCTGGGAATGAAGAGAAGGGAGAAAAATGCTAGAGGTATTTAGAGTCTGAGAGTCCACAGGATTCAGCGATTCAATGGATGAAGGTGTTGGGGAAGAAAAAGGATTCTTGGTACCAAGTTGTTTCATTGCTAAATGATGGTCCAAAATAACAGAAATATATAATGGAATAGAAAGGGCAGATTTGATCAACAAATTGGGCAAGTGTAAATTGACGTTCTCTTGAAAATTTCAACAATAATATGTATAATAGCTAGTATTTTGATTGCCTTTATTGATTGAGATTGAAGAGCTTTGTGTATTTCGGAATTA
The DNA here is from genome assembly GCF_000001405.40 of Homo sapiens. Lineage (NCBI taxonomy): Eukaryota > Metazoa > Chordata > Mammalia > Primates > Hominidae > Homo > Homo sapiens. Next base: position 75,059,998 of record NC_000012.12, on the reverse strand, counting down.
CTATTATAAAACGCCAAGAAAAGGCAGAGCTGGAGATGACATTTGGGTTATCATTGATGCTGTGGTGGCAGGTGGATTCATGGAAGTAGATGAGATTACCAGATTTTAAGACATTCCAATATTTAAGCAATAGACCTAGATATTTATGATTATTGTAGATCTCTATGACTATTGTGAATTCCTTAGGGTAGAAGAATTCATAATATTAAAAAATTTATTTACATAGTAAATGCATAGTCATATTTATTTTATAATCTAGTAAAGCAGCCAATTGTATTGAAGATTAACTTTGAGACTTTGTGGTCTTGTATAGAATCACTAGTTTGTCCTGTTAGTCATACATAAAAAGGCTAGGAGACACCTATTTTCCTGGACTGGGATATAACCAAGTGATATGAGCTAACATTTTAATGAAAAATAAATTGTGTGAAAGGAAAATCATTTAAAAGAGACAAAAATAAAATTAGAAGAGTGGCACTGTTTTACACTTTTGCAAATCTCTTTTATATCTTGCTTAATAGACAATGGGTGATTTCTCCTACCTGCTTCTGCATTCAATGAGTTGAGAGACCACATGTCATGTAGCCTCTAGAGAACTCCACTGTAAACAAGTGAGACAATGAGAGTGAAAAAGGCAAGAAATATTTTAGTATTACTACAAAACTATGCTTGACTATATGGACCCCAGAAAAGGCCTCATGGCTACTAGGAGTCCCTAGACCATGATGTGAAAGCAGTTGATATAGTTAACTTGTTAAGGCATGCAACACTAAAGTTCATTTTATTGTACTTCCAATTACACAGCCAATCAATCAATCTCTTATAGATTTTAAATATGGTTTCCTTGTTTCTCATAACCAAATTGCAATTTACACAGGATCTTTTAGTGTAAATTTACCTCTGCTCTCTGGGAAGAGTTTGCAAGTACTTGTAAAAGTGCTCCTCAGACACAGGAGGAAGGGAGACTCTAGTGTCTGCTGCTCATACATCTGAATAGGAACACCTGCTGGAGTGTACCAGATAGGATTGGAGGGGTTCTGCCTAAGCTGATTAGCAAAGAGGAGCAGATGTCCACTAAACAAAGATCTTAAGGAAGAAAAAGTACTACAGCTCTAACTTAATATGTAATATGGGGCTTCATTGGAGCTACAGGTGGGTCTAGCTCCCATAGCTGGATGGAAATTGGCTACCTGGGGATTATGTTATGGTTTTAGAAAAAAATTACTGAGCAAGGAGAATAAGGACAGCAAGAACAATAATATTTGAGACTGAGGTTTTGGGGACCCTTTGGTTTACAGGTACCTGGACTAACAAAGGTGGTACTGCAGGGTAGACAGACATTGGTGGCACTATGTAAGATGTGCTTTAACTGCAGTGCCATAGTGCTAAAAGAAACAGACTTTTCTGGATCAGAACATCTCTTCAGCAGGTGTTTGTAAGCTAGTTACCTCCCTTCACCTCCATCACTTTCCATTAAGTAAAAACAAATATTTTTGGATAATTTATTTTGGGACATGATTGTTGGCTTCAAGAAAGACATATTGGGACTCATAGCAGATAAGGCTTAATAATGTGACTCTATAACACTAGATGGTGGTAGAGCAGTTCATATCATACCAAGACAAATTAATCATTTAAAAATAAATTTATATTAAATATATTAAAGATAAAAATATTAGGGGGAATTTTAAATAATTGCAATTTTGAAATTACAATTCTGGTTTATGTCATGAAATTGCTATATATTGTCCATTATCATTATTAAGAGTGAAAAGCATAAAAATTTTCTTCAGTGTAATGAAACAATTATAAAAAACATTTTTATAAAATATGGTAATTACACACTTTAAATTTCATCATGATACTTAAGAAAGCAAAATGATACTATATGTTCATAATTGATGACTTTTAATTCTGGTTACCTAATTTTGTACACCATAATTCATTGTGATAATACCAATAACACATCAAGCCTTTCTTTCTTGTATCCCAGAAAATTACATTTTTGTGTGAATGGATAGGCCTTGACTCTAAACAAACAATTACAATTCCAATTAAATCAATCTGTGTCCTCAAAATAAAAATATAGAGGAAGGATTGTATATGTACATTGGATAAGGATATAAAGAAAACATGGTAGAAGATATTTATCAGGGACCACATCTGTCTCAGTGGTCAATAGTAATTTTGGGTATTTTTTTTATGTTAGAAGTGAATGTTATATTGTTTTATACCTATTTCTATAACAATCTTTATAATATATACATGTTTATGTATAATCTGTACTTAAATATTTATTTATACATAGAAACACTTTATGTGGATATAGATATAAAAATCTGTAACGTGTGATATATACACACATTTATATATAGACACCTGAAGTCTAATCTTTTTTACTGATTTCCAAGCTTGGTAATTGTGTATAGTGGTTTCATTGAAATGCCAGCTTTCTTCAATCTAATTCAATACCATAAATGTGGTAATGTTTGTGGATCTGTTTTTAAGTGGTAAAACTTGGATAAAAAAAATTGATTTTATCAACAGCCTCAGAAGAAACTGAATTAATTCTCAGCTCTGCATGGAACCAGCAGACCAGACAGTGGACCCTACTTGTTCCTACTTGATTGGCCTTTAAGGACAGACTTAGCAATGAAAGAGATTTTTTTCTCTCTATAGAGACCAAAGTTCTATGAACAACAAACTCGTTAATTATGGCAAAATTAGTGTATAAGACATGAATATACACAAAATTAAGACCATCAGCTGAGTTTATGGTGCTGTAAAAAAGAAGAAAAATTAAAAACTTCCAATTTATAAGTTCTATGGGTTAATAAAATCAACTTAATGGTCATTCAGAATAATCAGGCTTAACCTTCTCTTGGTTATTACTTACTTTGAATTTTGTTTTAAAATTAAACCTAGAATACATGCTTAAAGTTTTTTGTAGAGAATTTTAACTTTTCAGACATTTATGGAATGAATTAGGATTTCTCATTAGGAATACCTCTGCTTAATGCCACTCTTACACCCAGCTATAACCACTCCTAAAAATATAGTGTTTCTGTTCATTTGCTTTATTAGTTGTATGTAATGAGAAAAAATGAGATTACATTCTGCATATTGTTGTTCTGCAGTCATTTGTTTTTAACTTAACATGATTCCTTGGAGACCATTCCATGTAAGTACATGTTGCAGTATCTAATTCCTTGGAATGCTATATTACAGACATACCATCAATTCAGAGACAGACATTTTTATTTTTTAATTATAAATAATGCCTCATTGAATATCATTCTATTTGTCTATCCTTGTACTTTAATGTAAATTTTTTTACAGTAAATTTCTAAAAGTGGAAATTTTGGATCACAGGATTACATGAACTTCTGATACTTGAACATTTAAAATTCTTGTAATTCTTTAGTCTTTATTTTATTATTTAAGAAAGAAAAGCAACAGGAGCATAATAGGCATGAAGTATTCCCATTTGGAAAGATAATGTCCTTAGAAATACAAACTAAAAATAATGCAACTTATGTAAAATTATAAAAATGGAAATTCCTTAGTATTATATTTTAGGTAGCTTATTTTCATGATTTTCCCATGATGTTAATTTTCAAATATTAAATTATCTCTCTGACTTTCATTTACAAAATAGAGATGAGCCTTATATTTTTTAAGTTTTTCTTCCTTTATATTTTATAGTATAGGCTGATTTTTCTATTGTAAATAATAGGAGGATGAAGTAACTTTTAAAAGGCAGATTCTGTGTTGGCTCCAGTGGAATTTTTGCATACCAAATCAACAGAATTTTATAATTTATTCTTTTACTAATTTCACAACAGGGGCTGAAGACCTACTTCTTGCTTTAAGTCATGGTCCTGGGGATAGAATGTTTAAGTCTCTCTGAGCAACTTGTGGATATGTGGAATTATTAACAAAAGTATGTGAAAATTGCTGCAATATTAGTGATCCTGGGCGAGAGTAGCACAGAGAAAGGACACAGTCTAGGCACAGTTTTGAAAAAATGAATAAGCATTTGTGAATATGTTATAGAGCTCAATTTCACTCATTTTAATGATAACAAGAAAGAGAAAATGAGGAAAATAAAAATATACCCCACTTTTCATCACTTTCTCTCTGCCTATTATACATACCTAAAAATTTGCTTAAATATTTGCATTGAGGTAAATTGACATGAGACCCTCCATGGAGATCCTGGACTATGAAGACTTCCAACTCATGGTCACTGATTGGAAAAAAATAAGAGTCCTGGCCATTCTCTGTAATTAAATACATGGACATGACTAACGGAGAAAAATGTGCCTACTGATTAGACTCACAAGCCAATATTTTAACAGAGTATTTTTACTCTGAAACTACCTGGGATGATGCATCAGATCTGTACAATCAGTTGACATGACATACCTTGTCTGGAGAGCTTTCTAACATTTCAATTATTCAGCATGCCTAATTTTATTTTTAATTAATGTCTGGAGGAGTTTTTGGTCTTATCACAGGGAAAAGACAGAGAGAGATGGCAGTGTGATTCTCTTCCCCATTTTCTTGCTAAGACACATGCTCCATTAAGAGAATGAATGGAAGGTACTATTGACGACATTTGGACCCATAAGCCAGTTCAATTTGCTTTTTAAATTTGGCTTTTTTTTTTGCTTCAATATTCATTTTTCATTGTTTGATTTATATTACTTACCTTTTATTCATATCATTTTAATTCCCACTGGAATGTGGTCTATCTTATTCATTTCCTCATTTATTCTTTCATTAATTCTTCCACCCCTTTATCTATCCTGCCATACTCAGTAGTAACAATCGTGCAAGGAGCAAGAAATACAAAAAGTGAATATGATGCCAGTCTAGTCCTTGAAGATTTCTCAGTTCAGTGAAGGAAAAAATACAAATAAAATCTCTTCCCCTCCATTTCTTTCCTTTTTACTTTCTTTTGCTGAATGTTATTCAATGTAACCTCATATTTACCCATTTAAGCTCTACTCAGTGAGCCAGAAACAAAAGAAAACATTCTTTATATCCAAAGAGCTTAGAATTAAGTTCAGATAAAGCGCACCAAGTCTTTGCTAATGCAACCCAAGTGTTTGCCTCTGGATAATTCTGAGTCCTCAAAGCCACTGGGTCACCCATTCATTTGATACTTGAAGTAAATTGCTAACAAACTGAGTTCCTCTTCCTTCCATGGGAAACTCTGTACCTTCTCAGTATCTCCAAGAATTTTCATGGGTGCTACATTTCCCCTTATTACCTGGCATTCTTATTTTTATGACTCTTCTGTGTTTCTTATACCTATAACATATCCCGCCTCCCATGGTTAACTTCTCTCCTCTTTTTGTCCTCTGCTGGCCCAATACCTTCATTCCTTGAAGCAGAATCAACATCAAGCTCATTTTATAAAATAGCCTTTTGCTGAAAGCAAAACAGAAAAGGCATCATCTTAAAATTTAATATTCTCCATTGTTATTCTCAAGTTCTGCTACTGGACCTGTGAAGGAATTTCTCATTTGCTGAACATCACATTTTCAGCTCTTCCTCCTTCTCCTTAGAGAGCTTTTCCTTTTCCCCTCTTCAGAATTCAACCTCAGTTTCCAAATTTCTATTATGTTATTGTCAAGCATACTTTTGTTCTGTCTTAGAATCCTAAGATTATTATCCTAAGATTAGAATCCAGATTATGACAAGCGTTTTTAGCTTTCACAAATAAAAACATTGCCTCTCTGGCTGTTTTTTTTTTTTTTAATTGGAGACAGAGTCTCTCTCTGTTGCCCAGGCTCGAGTGTAGTGGCACAATCTTGGCTCACTGCAACCTTTTCCTCCTGGGTTCAAGTGATTCTCCTGCCTCAGTACTTGGGAAAGTAGCTGGGATTACAGGCATGTGCCACCATGTCCAGCTAATTTTTGTATTTTTAGTAGAGACGGGGTTTCACCATGTTGGCCAGGATGGTCTTGAACTCCTGACCTCAAGCGACCCATCCACCTCAGCCTCCCAAAGTGCTGGGATTACAGGCGAGAGTCACCGCGCCTGGCCTCTCTGGTTGTTCTTAAAGCAAAATAATCATCTACCTCTGAGATGAATGTTGTCTTTTTCTCAGAATGCCGAAGTTGTTTTCTTTTTCAAATATTATTTTATTTTCCTCTTAGAGTAAAAATATTACTATATATATTTATATATGTTATATATAATAAAAATAATTATTTAATTATATAAATTATGTAATATATATTATAGCAAAATATTACTATAATAGGAAAATAAAAAGAATATTTGAAAATGGAATCAACTTTGGTATTAAACTGGCAAATTTACAAAGTACTTAAAAGCTAAAGATATACAGAATTATAAAAATAGCAAAGTAGAATAATACAAATACAAAATCATGGTGTGGTCCTTTAAATATTGCCAATAAAATATTGATAAATACAAGTGCCAAACAACTTACATAAACAAGCAACTTTTGGTTTTCAAAGTTTTGTGTCTTAGATCTGTTTATATTTGTAGGCTGTTCACATGTTTTATTTATGCACAAGTATTTGCATAGAAACCAAAATTTTGTCAAAATACACACAAACACACACGCACACACACATCCCATTACTAAGGAGGTAGTGAGCTATAAAGGCTTTAGGAAGATTCTTCTGAGTCTGTAAATGCCTGAAATGCTTCAGTCTAAAGTAGGGATGGTGAAGAGTGTAGTTGGGGTGGGAGTTAGTAGGTACATATTGGCAGGACTCTAATGACAAAAGATTTTAGGTAGAATAAGAAACAATCATGACTCCTAAATCTACAGATAAAATTGGGATTAGATTAAGAAGTAATTTATGAATAGAGGATAACTGATTCTTCCTCTGAAAGGTTATCTTTTAATGTGTACATAGGATCTTTATGATACTAAGTGTTACGACAAATGATTGATTAAAAAATAGTAGTACATTTACTTGTACAAAGGGAAAACTGAATGACAAAAGAATGTTATTATCTCATAAAACGTCTGGGAAAGCTAATGATCAGACCACATTGCCAAAACTTAGAGCAGTTGGAAAATGTGCATGAAAGAGCAAGTCAAAGCCATGAAAATGACCTGCCTTAGAATACTATACAGCTGATGTACTAACTGGCACACTGTAGAAGAAGTTCCATAATTTGAGGTGGTTCTTTAAGGCAGATAGCCACAGTCCTAAGATATTTTAGTCCTTTTGTATACCCTTTACATTTTGGTGGATTAAAACTCAACCAGGTAAAAAGGGAGGTGGTTTCAATCTCTTCTTGAACTGTCTCAGCTCTTCCCAATGGCATGCTTGAGGACTAGATATTAGGGGCAACTTTGGATTTTGGATACATTCTATTATTTTCAAGTAAGAACCTCCCTCCGCTTGACTGACAACTTCCTTCTCCTGAATGACTCTTTTGTTTAGACATTTAAGGAAGAACCTATTGGTGTTCATTTAGCATGCTAAACCTGAGTGTTATCACAGATTACTAGTGATCTCTAGCACTGCTGACTATAACAGTGCCATTCATTCAAACAGCTGGATTTCAAGTTTTCAGATCTTTAATATTAAGAAGTATGTGATCCCAGCATAAATAAATGGTTTTCAACACATTTGTATTCTGCATTTGAGAGTTTGGTAAGTGAGGGGAACAGAATCTGCAGCTAAATTTGTCAAGTTAGTGACTCAGGCTTATCATTTTGTAGTTTATGACCATGGAAAAGTAGCTTAAACTTTCTGTCCTGATATCCCTGAACTGTAAAATGGAGTAGGAGTAGTGCTGTTATGAGGATTGATGTGAGTTAATGATGTAAATTACTTTCAACAGTATATGGTACTACTAAGAACTATATGAGTGCTTTTTTTATTATTCTGTGTTGGTGGTAGGTGTGTGTGTGTAGTCATATATTATTGGCTGAAGAAATGAATTGAATTTAAGAAAACTCTTTCAGCTTTATAGTATGTTACTCGAACACTTTGAGATCCATTTTCAAGAGAGGAAGACATTTTCATTTAAATTGCTCCTTTACTGGGTTTTTCTCCTTTCAGTCTTATTTATTCTTCCTCCCTAAATTTGCACTTTTGGACAAGTCTCCACCTGAAGTTGATGTAATTTACATGGCAGCACATATTGCAAAGATTTTTTTTCATGCTGTTACCATACGATATCCAGAACATTTTATATATGAATACAAATCTACAGTTAAATTTGGGTAGCTTCCAAATTTCTATCACTGTGTCATGCACCTTAAATTTAAAGGTTTAAAACTTGATCATATGCATAAAGATTTCTAGGATCATAAACTGTCATCTAAATTTCTCTTTTGTTTTGGTGTGTTTTCATTTGCAATTCCTTTACAGTGATTTTCATGTTCTCTTTACAGGTTATATTTTCTTACACAAAAAAATCTCAATAAATTATATTCCAACATAAAGCAAACCTTTGTATCTATAAGCTGAAAACAGAACCTGAAATACATTACCTGTACACTCTAATTAATGTTACATACATGTATCTTCTTTTCCTTAGGTCATATCCAAGTGAAACCTCTAAATATGCTGTTATTCTTTTTTATTTACAGGGATTGTTGCTTTTAGATTAGAATCAACATATATTACGATTCAGATCACTATGGGTTTTTTTATTTCTTTTTCCTCTACAGTTTATTGCTTTTGCTTCTTTATTCTTCATCCTGGTTTCAATTACAACTTTTTGCCTGGAAACACATGAAGCTTTCAATATTGTTAAAAACAAGACAGAACCAGTCATCAATGGCACAAGTGTTGTTCTACAGTATGAAATTGAAACGGATCCTGCCTTGACGTATGTAGAAGGAGTGTGTGTGGTGTGGTTTACTTTTGAATTTTTAGTCCGTATTGTTTTTTCACCCAATAAACTTGAATTCATCAAAAATCTCTTGAATATCATTGACTTTGTGGCCATCCTACCTTTCTACTTAGAGGTGGGACTCAGTGGGCTGTCATCCAAAGCTGCTAAAGATGTGCTTGGCTTCCTCAGGGTGGTAAGGTTTGTGAGGATCCTGAGAATTTTCAAGCTCACCCGCCATTTTGTAGGTCTGAGGGTGCTTGGACATACTCTTCGAGCTAGTACTAATGAATTTTTGCTGCTGATAATTTTCCTGGCTCTAGGAGTTTTGATATTTGCTACCATGATCTACTATGCCGAGAGAGTGGGAGCTCAACCTAACGACCCTTCAGCTAGTGAGCACACACAGTTCAAAAACATTCCCATTGGGTTCTGGTGGGCTGTAGTGACCATGACTACCCTGGGTTATGGGGATATGTACCCCCAAACATGGTCAGGCATGCTGGTGGGAGCCCTGTGTGCTCTGGCTGGAGTGCTGACAATAGCCATGCCAGTGCCTGTCATTGTCAATAATTTTGGAATGTACTACTCCTTGGCAATGGCAAAGCAGAAACTTCCAAGGAAAAGAAAGAAGCACATCCCTCCTGCTCCTCAGGCAAGCTCACCTACTTTTTGCAAGACAGAATTAAATATGGCCTGCAATAGTACACAGAGTGACACATGTCTGGGCAAAGACAATCGACTTCTGGAACATAACAGATCAGGTAAGGCAGGACTTCAAATGCATGTTATTAAATACTTTATAGACCAGTATGTTCCTTAGGCAGAAGGCAGTCATTCTCATTTTCTGCAAATGTTCATGAGTTTTCAGCCCTAACCCTTTCACGAAATGTGTGTTTGTGTCAGGCTTGTAGATAGCTAGACTGTAGCATTTTCTAATTGAACCCCAAGTAGGAGATGGCATAGCTGGTCTATAGAGTTTTCCTGCTTTAGTGGGAATGCCCTTTGCTGATGGTGCCAATATTTTCTTTTGCCTGTTTGTTGCTTTTGTGCCAATGTTTCTTTGTTTCCCTGCACGATGTGATGGTATGATATTGGCCATTTTTCATCTTTCATCCTCAAAATGTTGATCTCCATATCGTTTGGCTTGGTGTGTTTGTCTCAGTTTTACCTCTGCCACATGGTGCCATGCATCTCAACCTAATTCACAAGAAGCAGTTATTTAAGAAGAATGGATGCTTACATTTCAAAGGCCTAAACTCCAAACAGGTGATATGGAAGATAACCTTTTTGATAACAAAGCTCTTCCCTAGTAATATCCTGGAGGATTGATTAAATTTTCATTGTTCTTAAATTAAGTAGGGTATCTCATTATAACCCCTTTGATGAGGGTCCATGCCATGTAATATAATTAACCCACCATTTTTCAGGGAATAGATGATCTGCTTTGGCCACTCAATGGCAAAGTTGAATTTCTCAGTGGAATTCCTTTTTAGGTACAATGTGTTGGGTTCTGCTCTCTCTCAGAACTGAATTTTGAATGATTTACTGCTTGAGATTAGTTGAATCTCTGCTCCTCCCCATTGCTATAGACAATGTAGAGTTGATCGACTAGAAATTGACATTCAGCTGCCAAAGTAATAGTGATGTCACCTCTTGTCTACTGTCTGGTACAGGTAAAATATTTTGCAGATTAAACAATTTAATTAGCTTTTACCCTACTAGGAAAATGTAGGGTTTATTGATTCCCCATAACTTAGATAAATTTCATTTCATTTTTTCTTACAGAAAAATGACTTATGATGATTTTATGTGAATGATTTTGCATAATTTAGAAGTAACATCAACTAACAAAGCAAACTAACAAAAAAGGAGGCATCATTTTCATAGGTCCCTCCTTAGCTTCTAGAAATTTTAATGAGGTAAATGGAAAAAACAATGTGGCTGGAGCTGAAGTTTGTAAGTGTTTGTAAGTTTCATTCACAGTCCTTATGCTTATTTAGTAGATTGCTATGCAAATTCTTCTAATATATATCTAACAACTGTTAAGAATGTATTTATGAAAGGTAGAGTTTAGTTGGTGTTGCTGCTCTCATCAAACTATTCTCAAGTATCTATGCAGAGCCTTTAAGAAGGGCATGGGAAAAGAGGACACACTATCATCCCAGGTAAACATTGAAATAACAAGCTAGTATCTAGGCCAATAGGATGGTGAAAGTCTTTGGCAAGGATACAGAAGTAAACAGATACTTATTTCAAGGACATTTGGAGAAGTTGGCCTTGTTCCACTGCATGCTCAAAAATATCTTGCCGCTTCAAAATTGACTACCTGGAAACGGAGTTTGTGTGCTTTGGAATAATTTTTATTAAGAGTTTTGGACACAATGCTTTCAGAAATTAATAAAAGCATGTCTCTTAAAAAACCACAAAGCCAAAGTTTACTTAAGATATTTTCTTAAATAGGTTCCATTTTTAAATATTCCTATTCAGAGTAAATAGATAACGTCAAAAATTGTAAGACAATAATCCACATGCTTCTTCATTTTCACATTTATTTTGAATTCATATTAGTCGTGTGAAAGGCAGTTTCCTATTAGATAAAATCCAAAATGGAATTAAAATCTCCCAAAAAACATTTCTATTCTTTTCAATACATTTCCATTTTGCTCCATGTAATTTTTCGTGAAGAGTGATAAAAATTCTTTTTCTTATTGTGATGTGATTCTTGTGTGTTGTATATCGAGTGACTGGACTACCGGCATTCTGTGTAAACTCTTTGTACTGTCTCATTTCCTCATTCATCACTGTCTGTCAATGGGCATGGTGCTGTGACCAGTGTTATCAGGTGACGACAGTACAGGAAGTGAGCCGCCACTATCACCCCCAGAAAGGCTCCCCATCAGACGCTCTAGTACCAGAGACAAAAACAGAAGAGGGGAAACATGTTTCCTACTGACGACAGGTGATTACACGTGTGCTTCTGATGGAGGGATCAGGAAAGGTAGGCATGCATTTAATCAGATCATAACAGGTGACTTAGCAATAAACTGTTGGAAATACATGGAGTAATGTAAAATGCTCATTCATCATTTTCTAGGAAAGACTGCGTACAGTGCTCTTTTCCTCTCTTCATTACATCTTCTCTCCTTAGAAACTTGTTAAAATACATAATAACCTATGTGATCGTCATATCTGAAAGACATCTCATCCTTTTTTCTCTCTTCTTTGGTTTGCCATTTGTCTATGGGCAGAATTGGAATGGAATATGTAAATATTAAATCACTTATCCAATTACTTTAATATAATGTACTCTGCAGTCATTAAAAGTTATCTTTTCTCACTGCAAAAAATAAAACTCACTAATTGGCTCTGTGCACATATTTGATGAGTAATTCATGACTATAAAACAATTATAAGTTTTTTTTTCTCAAAGTAAAGCATTAAACGTTCTCTAATGTTTCTAATCCAGTACATAGGTAGTTTTTGCCAGTGGTTTACCTGAGGGTCTCAAGGTTGCAAAGGCTCGTGATCCGCAGTCATATGGAACAGTATGTCTAATCACTTCAAAGCCTACTTGTGTACTCACAAAATGCACTTACAGAATTTTTCTTCAGGACCAATAATAAAAAATCCTTTTATTACTATTTTTCAACAGACATGAACTGTTCCTGACACCTAGAAGATAATAAATCTTGATTGAATGAATAAAAATTGTGGGATGAGCATCTTTGGTAAAGAGTATAACAGAATATTGAAGCTCCCACTTATCATTTGGGTCCTTTTCCCTTGATTGTACCAACTGTCTAAACTATTCCCTAAAAGGTTTTTTATTCCCTTTTGGTAAACTTTACAACCTTAGGACAATTGGGATCTTTTCCTCCCCTTTAAAAATAGTCTCGTGACTATTATAACCCACTTTTGTCAAAAGTGGTATGCTTTATTATTAGCTTCTACTTTGACAATTCCAGTTGCTTTATTGCCACAGTTATTTTTCCTCTGTTTGTTGACAGAATAGGGAAATAACTATAATAATGTCTTATGGTAATTGACTGAATTTGAATAAAAATCCACTTTAAAACTTTCATATTAGCACAACTGCATTTAAATAATACCGTGCTTAGTTGTTATTCATTGGAGTTTCTCCCTATTGAATTATTTACCATTTTAAGGTTCAAATATTTATTTTGTGAATCTCTTTTTCTTTGAAATATTTTATTGCCCATGTTGTACTTCTCTTCATTTCTTTTGGTCACTTTAGATTTTTCTTCTCTGCTTCTATGCCTTTGAGACTTAAAAGAGAAGACAAAAGACTCTTGTTCCTTTCATGAGTAATATTTTAAATACCTCTCCATTCCAATTACTTCCATTGTTTGCATCTATTTCTTGCACCAAAATGTATTTCAATCCTCTCAATAGATTTATTTGGTTGTTTACTGTTTTACATTAAATATGTGCTAGAAAAATCTTTAAATATATTTTGAAGAGAGTGAATACACTATCATAGTATTTGAGCAAAATATATGTACATGTTAAATAATAATCATCATATCAAACTAATATTTTATATAGAACATGCTGTTCCAAGTGCATTGAATATCTTAAATCACTATATGCAATGTATATACATGTTAAATTTACATACATTTTTAAGCAGCATTCAATAAGATTATCACATGTAATATTTATACTAAGATTATGTGTTTAAAGAACTCTAGAATGTTTTTCTTCTATGTTAGACAATGTTTTGAGTTTTAAACTGTCAAAGAAAATCACGAATGAGAAAAAGCTTTGCAAATTATAAGGCACTATCTAAATACAAAGTTTTACTATAAAATTGCAAAGTTTTGCAAGCAAAGCAATTAATAAGATATTTAGTTTGCATGGAAAATTTATACATGCAATCTTATTTCACAAATATAAATTCTTTTTATTAGTGAGAACATCATTGAAAATTTATTCATGAGTTTTTTATTGTTTGTCATTTCTTATCATAATCAACTCTTTTTCATTCTTGCTTAAGTAGTTTATAGTTATATGTTTTTTCCTACTAAGCATGATAGTACTTCTGGCTAACTTCACTTAATCGTTTCAGTTGGTTATCTTATCATATCTATCACAAATTTATTCATTTCTTCTCCTGTTTCCCTTTTTGTAGGTTATAGATTTCTGCTGTTATTTCTATTCATTTATTTTCTATATAATCCTTTCATTTATTTATCCCTCAAGTTGGTCTATCTGCTGATTTGATTTTAATATTTAAAAATTCTCTCTGTAAGTGAAAATAAATTACTGGATTCCCACTGAATTATTTTTCTAGCTAAAAATATGAACGTAATTGGGCATATATTAAGAAAACTTTAAGGATTCACTAAAAGAGTAAACTCTCAATACTTAGAATGCATGTTTGTTGTTTTAAGAAAGCATATTGCATAAACTAAAACATGCTCGTGAATAGCACATGGGTAGGTAGTTTCAGTATTGCCACAAATAAGCTCATGCTCTTAAGAATTATTTAAAATGAATGCTGTATATCTAGAAGTTAGTTCAAAATAAGTTCAACAGTGTTTACCCTCATGAATTATATTTTTAGCCATTCGAGTAAAACCTTGATTAAGCAACATTTTATCAAATTTTCTAATCATAAATGAACATGTAGAATAAAGAAAAAATATGTACATGAATAATATATAGTTTTACTAATAAATACTTGTTACTAAATTAGAAAGGAAGCCTTTTCAAATAGGCACTGAAATTATAGTCATTAGAAATATAGGACCCATAAACAGAATAGAATATTTATAGTAAAACTATAATTCAGAAAGATAACATTTAGAATGGCAACCAAGTTTTATATGTTACTGGCATGAACACTATAAAACTGCCAAAGAGAATTTTATCTTTCTGGGGGTCTTGTAGGAGCAAGGAGATTGTAGAGAACAGAGTTGTAAATCTGTGTGATGATGTATAATTATTAACAGCCCATTTAGTTCATGCATATTCACCACTTCGCCTTTAATCGAAGCCAATCAATGTTTATCGTCTAGTTTACGTTTTTAGGTTATACAGTCAACTTCGATGGCATAGGATAATTTTTTCCTACAATTCCCAAAGTTATATTTTCAGTCACTTTTCAGAAGAGCAGTAATAACTAACCCTCTGTGCATGTGAAAATTTCTATTTAGGGACAAATTACTTGCAATTCTTAAATATTATTCCAGATATCCTCCCACTATTCCATCATTCACCAACATAAAATGAAATATATACCACTTCTCATGTTTTATAGCTCAGAATACTAACAAAACATTGGCAGATAATTATTTAATTAGCAGAGACTATGTGCTAGAGAACATTTATCATAGTTAATGGATGACATAAATTTCTATCTACAAAATTTCTAAGAAAGCAACTAGTCTGCTGAAGGTTAATGTGTGTGCATTTTGTGAGGGGAGGGGAATGTTCATCGTTTTCTTTTCTTATCCAGTCCAGCTTCACCTCATAAGAGAGCTTTACCCCGTAAGAGAGCTGTTACTGCGATCCATACCTATGTCTGTCTTGGCCTCTCATACATAAAATAATCAGATACATCACTTTTTCTCTTCCAATGAAAAGAGGAAAGCTATCCATGGCTTCTTCTCTGGAAGTTCCATGAAAAGATTGAATTAAAGATGAATAGCTGAAAGGTACATAAAGAAAAACAATGGACCCATTTTTTTTTTCTCACACACTCATCGAGTACACTGAGGTCTGATTAGAATCCAAAAAGTAAGTCATATAGTGTAAGGGAGGCAAGTAGTCCACTAGAATTGTATCTACTTGCTCAATTTTGGTTGCCAAAAAAGAATTTCATTTTCCTGTTCTATAACAATTTTTCAAGAAGCTGTCAGAATATTCATCTCCAAAGCTTTGTAGCATGACTACTTTTTTAGTCAATAGTTGCCCTGCTTTAAGATATTTCACTTCAAAATTTATACTAGGTGCTTTCCACCTCGTTTAACTGTCTGTAATATTTTGTAATAAAAAATACTAAAATATGCAAATATTTCCAAAGGTGACCTTGATAGGGTTGCTTAAGTAGCTAAGGAATAAGACTAAAGTTTATGAGAGCATCTTTTATTTTGTAAGTTCGTAGCTATCATGAACAAAAGATCAAGGTGTGATATAATAGAAAGAAAAGATGAATTAACACCAAATTATTCTCAATTCCTGGGTGGGAAGGTCGGGGGTGGAAATCAGCTGAAAACATCATGTAATCAAATTCAAACTTATTTCACTGAAATTATGACTTAATTTATATTTCATTCATTTTCTTTTTTTTTCCTTTACTTTTCTTACCCAAGGAATTAGAAATGGGCATTCCATCCTACATCACCTGGATAATGGCACCAAATGCCATTATTTAAGAATCATCTTTTAACCCTATAAAGCTGGAAGATTAAATATGCTGGAAAAAGAGTTGTCCATTTAAACTTAAGTATGCTTTATTGGCTTAGGAAATAAAAAATGAAAAGAGAAAAAGTAGCCTACTTATTTCTCTTTTTTTCAAGAATACATTCTGAAATTTAAAAATATTAGTCAAGCTTATATCTTACTTAAGTTGCTTTGCCTAATTTTTAAATGAGTTCTAGTATTCTATATGCCAAAATTATATTAATGCTAACTATAATCTGGGAAAAAATATATTTTGAAGTATTGTAACAATAATTTGTGATGGCTGGTTTAATCTTTTCAAAATGGCAACTACAGTGAGCTTCATTTTTTTAGAGTTATAAATTGTCTCAATATTAAATTCTTTGTAAACAAATTCTTCTTTGAGCTTGAAAGTAGCACTTTTGATTGCCCTGCATGGTATTATTTGTCTGTCTATATTCTGGTTGAATTCAACTGATGTCTGTGCATTTTTTCATAAAAGGATATGAAAAATCCCGAAGCTTAAACAACATAGCGGGCTTGGCAGGCAATGCTCTGAGGCTCTCTCCAGTAACATCACCCTACAACTCTCCTTGTCCTCTGAGGCGCTCTCGATCTCCCATCCCATCTATCTTGTAAACCAAACAACCAAACTGCATCAGTCGGCTAAATTGTATTAATTCAAGTGCTGTTTACCCCATAATGGAAATAATTAAATGTAGAGTTACTCCAGGCTCCATTAATACAGTATAAATCTTGCATGATACTACAATTTGAAGTCAGAAATGCCACTTGGGTAGCTAATGAATCTTACCCAGGCTTTAAAGATTGTCTAAAGTAGTGCTAAGATCCCTCCTATTAATTGCCCTGATATCCTTTTGCAATAAAATGACAGATAGTGTCAGATATTGACCAGTGCACTAATATATAAACATACCTTCAGGGAGATATATTTAAAACAGTGTGCTTCCAAATGCCAACCACTTCATTGGAACTTTATTTCTTGTGACTGTAAACCATTCTGAAGATGTCTGGGATCCTATCTTGATTGCACACGACATGACTTGTGTCAGCTCATTTGCATGGACCATCTTGTCTCTATCACCTGAAAGCAATGTTGCAGAGTTCGGGGACTGTGGATAGCTCAGGATATGTGTACTTGCATCGAACCATCCTGCTGATATGAAAGCATTGGTCGACTGTTCTGCATGTTGAATTGTGGGGCAGGGAGGGCACTTTTCTCCTTGACATTTTTTTCTTATTATTTGAAAGAAATATATGTTTTAAATAGTTTAATTTCTTGATTGATTTACTTTTCTTCAAAAATGCTGTATTGGAGTTCTGAATGTCTCTGGTTGTTTGCACACAGATAACTGCAAAGAGGTTGTCATTACTGGTTACACGCAAGCCGAGGCCAGATCTCTTACTTAATGACTTGGGGAAGGCACAAAACATGAGAGAAAGGTAACTGCCAGCCAGGCTTGCATTGTTTAGCCAGAAATTGCTGCTTGGTTCTAGACTCTTTAAAAAAAAAAAATACCCAGGGTTTGTCATCATTTTCAGAGGCAGAGTGCCAAATATCACCCAAAGCTCTTGTGTCTTTTTTTTACCCCCTTATTTTATTTTTATTTATTAATTTTTTGTGCAAACATCAAATGTCACTGGTGTTCACAGAAGGCTTTTTTGACTAGCCTTAAATTCCTGAGTCAAAAGATTAATCAGATTTTCAGGCAGTGTTTAATCAGGTGCTTTGTCCTGTATGTTGTTCTTGTCTGTCTTAGCTCCCTGTCTTTCCTGTATATGCCATCTGTCTCCATGAAGCACAGAAATGCCTCTGTAAGATGTTTATGATTTTAATATTTACTCCCTCCAAACCCGACTCCATACCATTTTTTGCTATTTGGAGCAGCCTCTCTGCTTTGTGTATAAATTAATGATGCTCTGTAGACTACCTAAGTTAATCGGCACTGTGAATCTTTTTGATAAGCAGGGTTTAAGCAGCAATTTCACCATTGCACTTGGTTGCCTGCTGCAGTGTCAGTTTCTACTACCTAGCAACCAGCATTCATTACTACACTCCAACAAAATCCTTAGGGAGTCATATTCAGTCTGAGTGGAAGAAAGTCTATTTATGCATTCCTATGAATTCAACAGCAATAGCGTGTCTCATGTATTGAGCATGTGAGGGAAGAAAAAGACCGTAATATAAATAGAGGGATAAATAATATCACTAAGGCATTTGGGAGCCTTGAGACTGCTGATTAATTCCTATTTCTCATGTTTATTTTTTGTTAGGAAGACAATTGTCACTTTTATTATTGGCCACGAAACATGTATTACTCTATATCCCCAAGTCCTAGAGCATGACCTGCATGTTGGAGATGTTGTACAGCAATGTATTTATCCAGACATACATATATGATATTTAGAGACACAGTGATTCTTTTGATAACACCACACATAGAACATTATAATTACACACAAATTTATGGTAAAAGAATTAATATGCTGTCTGGTGCTGCTGTTATTGACTACAGTGTTGTACAGAATTTATCATGGATTATTGACTGCTGAGAAAGGGACAGTGGAATTTAGCCATACCAAGGACTATACTGGAAACAGACTTCTGCTGCTGAATGTGCCCTGATGTGACCAGGTTGCACTTGGAAGAGATCCTCGCGTCTTCATGAGGCACTTAAAGCTTATAAAAGAACTGCGGCTGGAACTCATCTGGTGCTCCCCATGAGAGTGCTCTGCTTGTAGACTGGCCAGTGTCCATGAAACAACTGTAAATACCAACATGTGTGCATGGGTCAACAGTCTTGGCCATTTCTCATCAAAAGAAGCCAAATTCATGATCAACATCTCTGAAGTTTCAAGTAAGGCCCACACTTCTTTGAATTACTCTTCATGGGCCCACATTAGGTTGTGCTGTGAATTACTTAAGGCAGTGATACTGATGTAGTATAGTTTTGTCTTAATTTCCCTTATTTCTACTTCTTTGGTTGAATCTATGAACTTGATTGTATAATTTTCTTATAAATTACTGATGTAATCAGCTTGTCAATTATGTTGTGAAATTGTTAGTATTCATTTATCAAAAATGACCTATGTTTAGTCACATATTTGTTTAGTTCTGGGAAATTGTTATAGCTTAAATGGAACTCACCAACATTATTCATAGTTTAAGTCTTTTATCATTATTACCTCAATTATAAATATTACAAAAACATAATTCTGGCAATGAGAGTATTTTTTTATTCAATGATCAAGGAGCAATGTCAGTATATAGTAGAATATCAATTAAATTATATCCTAAAATGTATATTTTGCATAAAAGAGATATTCTTTAATCAATTACTTTTTTGTGAGTTTTGTGGCAAATGAAGCTTGTACGTGTCTTTAAAACTGTTGTAGATGAAACTGTATAAGATTTTTACATCTTGCTTAATCAATATTTTCAGAGTCTATTAGTTCCCCTGGGATTCTGAATATAACATATAGCCTATTATAAATCCCTGTATCGTGGACCTTTTGTGAACATTTCAAGGCGCATGCACAACCTTGATGATAACCAGTGGAAATGTAACTAACTGAAATGAAGAATAAAAGGCAAATGAGCTGGGGATAAACTTGAATGTTATCTGATTAAATTACTCAAATTATTGTCTTGGCTCTTTTCTTTGTGGTGCAGTTTTCAACAGACTTTACTATTTTTATGTTTTATGGTATCACACCAGGCTCTTGTATGCAATGAAGGATTTGGGATAAAAGGATTTAAAAACATACACAGCTCTAACTATCTATCATTCAAGCGTTAGGCAAATAGCCAGTGTATTCTTCTTCTTTCACCTGCCTATATTTCTCTCATAATTCTGAGATTTAAAAATTACTGAGTATTATGGTATCTGACATTTATAAAGTATTTATGATTAGTGCTGAAATTTTCTTTTTTCCTATAGAGATGGGGGTCTTGCTATGTTACCTAGGCTGTTCTCGAACTCCTGGCCTCAAATAATTCTCCTGCCTCAGCCTCCCGAAGGGCTGAATTTATATTTATGTTTTCCAGGTTAATCATTACAGCAATCCTAGAGGCAGATAATTTTGTTTTCATTTTACGGGTGATAAAGTTAAGGATGAGAGAGGCAGAACTGTTCATTTACATTTTTGCCACAGATAATGTTCCCTGTAATACTTTTTTGTGGATTAAATATTTACTGGGCCTCTAGTTGTAAATGCCCTATCAAAGATGGCTTCTGTCTCACCTTTGGGTAACAGGCCTCTCTTTCAGAAGCACATCATACATAGTTGGCCTTCCATTTATATTGTGGGAATACATATAAGTTTACCCTATAAACTTCTATGTCACCATCCAGGGGTAGGAGAGGGGTGAGATAAAAGAAAAAAATACTGGAGAATTCAACACTTTTGACTAAGCAAAGCAAAATCTTTTCTATATCTTTTCTGTGCCTAAAAATGTTCCATGTTGACTCTTAAGAGACTATTAAGAAACAGCTCAGAAAAGGGAATCTGTCCAAATATAATTACTATTAAAATATTTTTAATGATGTCAGGATGTTGGATTTACTGTAAAAAGGAAAAATGTGTAGGAAGAGGAAATAATGCATTGTAATAGATAATAATTGCCATCAAATTTTGATTAAAAATCAGGATTAAAAAGTCATGAATGAAAAGTTAAGACATTCATTTTATCCTTGAAATAAATCACTAGACATACTAATAGAATAGCAAAAGTGAACTTATCTTAGACAATGAATATTGTCAGGCTGTAGTGAATATTAACAGGCTACATTACAAAGCAGAGACTTCAGAGGATTTATGACATGCTTGAAGACATTTAGAGCTAAATGAATCTATTAAATTATTGAAATCCATGGAAGTTTCAGATGATTAAAATATGTAGTTAAATTTTTTTCTTACTGAAAAAAATTCTTTCTTCCATCCAATTTCCACTGCCAAAATTTAATTAATTGTTTAAATGCCCAAACATTATTAAACTATAGATATATGCTAATATTCTGTAATGTGAGCTCAGTGTCATTAATATTGATTTTAAATTTTCTAATTTCCTGTTCTTCGCCAAACTTTGTTCAGAGGATATGATGTGTTTCACTATTCTCTGAAAATAAAATAATTTGATAGAATTAATATTACAAGATTGATTTTGTTATCACACTATCATGTCAAAGCGACCAACGACTGAATATGCAATTTGAATACTAAGATCGTCAAAGGATGTGGCCACCACCATTGTGAATCCCAGATAACCTAACATTCATTTGTTTAAAAAATATTTTATTTTTTAAAGAAGTTTTAGCCTCGCAGGAAAATTCAGCAGATTTTCATGTAGCTCTGCCCCCGTACATGCACAACTTCCCCCACTATGGACATTTCACTCTACAGGGGTGCATCTGTTACAATTGAAGAGCCTATAACTACACTGACTCATCATTAATACCCAAAGTCCATAGTTTATGTTAGAGTTCACTATAGGTACTCTACATTCTATGGGTATTGAGAAATGTATAATGACATGCATCCACCATTGTAGTATCATATAGAATAGTTTACCCTAAAAATCCTCTGTGTTAATCCAATTCATCCTTTCTTCCCCTTAATTTTAGCGGGGGTGGGGGGGGATCTTTTTACTGTCTCCATAGTTTTGCCTTTTCCAGAATGTCATATAGTTGGAATGGTACAGTATGTATTTTTTTTTCAGATTGGTTTATTTACTTAGTAATACACATTTAGGGTTTTTCCATGTCTTTTCATGACTTGATAGCTCATTTATTTTTAGCACTGTATAATAATTGCATTCTCTGGACATACCACAGCTTATCCATTCACCTACTGGATATTGTATTCATCAGGGTTTTTCAGAGAAAAAGAACTCATAGAATGAAAATACACCCACCCCCCCACCCCCCCACATCCCCACATCCCCACACACAATTATATAAAGAGATTTATTATAAGTGATTGGCTCATGTGATTATGGAGGCTGAGAAGTACCATAATCATAATTTGCTATCCACAAGCTAGGGACCCGGGACAACAAGTGGTATAATTTCAGTCTGAATTTGAAGGTCTGAGAATCAGAACTGATGGTGTAAATTCCCATTCAAATCCAAAGGCCTGAGAGGAAGTAGTACTTATGTAAGTCTCAGTCCAAGAAAAGAAGACTGACATGCCAGATCAAACAGCCAGGCAGAGAGAGTGGAATCTTTCCTCCTCTACTTTTTTGTTCCATTCAGGCACTCAGATTGGATCTTGCCCACCCACATTAAGAAAGGCAATCTGCTTTACTCAGTCCATTGATTCAAATTCTAATTTCTTCCAGAAACACTCTCAGAGACACACTCAGAAATATTGTTTAACTAGATGTCTGCCCTAGTCAACTTGATGCATAAAATTAACCATCACAAATCCATTCCTTGTCAACTTGGCACTCTTGGCACTTCAAAAGCAGCTCCTTAAACCATAATCTCCAAGTAAAGACAAGAATGAGGTCAAAATTCTGCCTAATGTAGTACAACTATCGCGTTTTTGTCCAAAAGTGTACTAAACCAGAAGAGACGATAAATTCCTTGAGTGATGATTACTCTTCTCTTTAATATCCTATAACTTAAAAATTCTGATACAAAATTAATAGTGCTTAAATACTACAACATAAAGTCAAAATATATCATGTTGCATGATAAAGAAATGAGAGAAAAGAAAACAAAGATTTTTATATACATACATACAATGTATACATAACAAAATAAGGAGCAAATACTCATGGCAATTACAATTCTGAAATTGACCACATAGCCATAGCTGGTATTTATGACTACCATCTTCCATCACCCATTCTGTATTCCTTTTACCTTCAGCAAGCACCTCAGCTGGTTTACTTGGTGGGGTTACCCAAACTTTCTGAACTGGGTTGTTGTAGTTTTCCACTGACCTTAATCACTGGATATGGTAACATTAAAGACACTGTAAAAGATTTTCTGTGTTCCAGCCACGTTCTTTCTTGCCTGCATTGCAGAGTAGTAGTCCAATTGTGCATTGGTAGTCAGAGTCAATCACCCCAGCCAGCACAGTAACTCTCTTCTTTGCCTTTTGTTTAACAGGCATGAAGAGCCCAGTGACTGGGCATAAGTCTTAACTTGCATTTCAGTGGAATCGTTGTTTTGTCCCCTGGTGAAAACATTTCTCCCTTTAGAAGTAAGACTTCTAGGCCAGGAGGGTATTCGGTCATGGAAACAGGAAGCAAAAATGTTGTTATTGGGGCACTAGGAGTAAGAGTGAGTGGTGCCACTCTCATTTTCACCCCTTGATTTCTAGACCCATGAATCCTGGCTGTGAAAGAAACAGCACCATATATTGGATGCTAATTCAGAAAATACATAGCCTTCTGGAGAACCTCATTCCAGTCTTACAAGTATTGCTACCTAGCTAGTGCTATAAACTGAGTATCCAAAGGCCATTCACCATTATCTCAGAAACCAGCATTTCAGGATGGTGGGGAACATGGTAAGACCAGTAAATTCCATGAGCATGGGCCCACTGTCCTGCTTCTTTTGTTGGGAAGTGAGTTTCTTGATCAGAAGCAATGCTGTGTAGAAAACGTGTAGTGGATAAGGCATTCTGTAATTCCAGGCATGGTAGTTTAGGTAGAAGCATTGAGTGCAAGGAAGACAAATCTATATCCAGAGTAAATCTGTAATCCAATAAATCCAATAAGAACTAAATGTTGCCCCTCCCATGATGGAAGCAGTCCAGTATAATCAACCTATCACCCAAGAATGAGTTAATCATGGCAGGAAATGGTGCCTTATTGGAGACCAGT